>NC_000005.10:90412837-90715867 GCF_000001405.40 Homo sapiens
TTACACTGTGTTGCTGTGTTGCCCAGGCTGGTCTAGAACTCCTGGTCTCAAGTGACCCTCCAGCCTCAGGCTCCCAGAGTGTTGAGATTACAGGAATTAGCTCCCATGCCTAGCCAATAAATTAATTTCTAAAGCTGAAGTGACCTGGAGAGGGACCATCAGCAGACTAGGTATTTAAAAAATTATTGGAAAGATCAAAAGAAATATGGAAACTTGTTGACAAATGAAACAGATCACTGAAGTGGCATCCTATAATTTTCCAGAGATGACTTATGTTTCACAGAGAGTTGATCTACCTAGCAAAGTCCCAGAGAGACTCCAGGAATAGAGTTCCCTTGTACAGTAGAAGGTGGAAATGAGAAGGGGGCTAAAAACAAAATGTCAATTTAAAACCTCTTTAGGAAACCACTGTACTTCAGTTCCTCCAGATTCCTCTCCCCAGTGTTTTGTCTCTTTACATCTATCTAGAACTCCACTCTTTTTTTTTTCCTTTTTTTAGAGACGGGGGTTCTCTCTGTTGCCCAGGCTGGAGGGCAATGACATGGCCTTAGATCATAGCTCACTGCAACCTCAACCTCCTGGGCTCAAGCAACCTCCCACCTTGCGCCTTGGCCTCCTGAAGTGCTGGGATTACAAACGTGAGCTACGGCACGTGGCCTGAGTCTTTAAAATGAATGAAGAATGAAAAACCATCAGAGATATGAAAATCAACAGCATGAAAGATAAAACTAAAAACCATTTCAGGAAGACTCTGAGTCAGCTAAGGAACCAAAATAAAATAATAAGAAATTAATAATAATAAGCTGCCTAAGAAGTACTCAAGAAAATATTAGAGAACAGAATACTCTGAAAAAGGAGCATTGGAGAATAAGAAAAGACTGTTGAAAATAAACATGAATGTAAAAATTAAACTGGCAAGATGATTTAATTGAAAAAATATCACAAAACTTGCAGTATTCAAACAAAAACATGGAGAATTTTGAGAAAAAAATGGAGGACTAATTCATTATTTGACTAATAAGAATTTCTGAAAGAGAGAACAAGAGGAGGAGGAGAAAAATATCACACATTGAAAAGATACTTCGAGGAACTGAAGATAAATACAGGTCTCCAAATTGATAGAACACATTTAGTACTGAGCAAAATAATAGTAAAAGAACCACACCTAGACACATAAAGAAGCCATTTCAGAGCATCAAAAATAAAGAAAAAGGCCTAAAAGCTTCCAGTCACAAGAATCTGACCTTTTATAAAAGAATTTAAGAATTGAGCTAGTATCAGATTTCTCATCAGAAACTTTAGATACCGAAAGATAATACCTTCAAAATTGTAAGTGAAAATTATTTTGAACTTAGAATTCTATTTCCTGTCAGAACAAAACTCAATTATGAGTACATAATAAAGATTTCAGAAAGTTCAATTATCATATACTCTTTCTGAAATATGTACTCCAGAAAAGTAAGAATGAAATCCAAAAATAAGATAGATGTAAAATACAAGAGTGTGGCAGATAGAATGACCCATCGAAGATGTCCATGTCCTAATCCTTGAAATTTGTTAATGTTACACTGCATGGAAAAAGGAACTTTGTAAGTGTAATTAAGGTTATTAACCTTAAAATAGGGAGTTTATCCTGGATTATCCAGTGGGCTCAGTCTAATCATGTGAGTCCTAAAAATCAGAGAACTTCTTCCACTTAGAGGCAGAAAAAATGAAGCAGGAGAGGTTAGAGAGATTTAAAGTATAAGAACTCTGGCCGGGCATGATAACTCATGCCTGTAATCCCATCACCTTGAGAGGCCGAGGCAGGTGGATCACCTGAGGTCAGGAGTTTGAAACCAGCCTGGCCAACACGAAACCCTGTCTCTACTAAAAATCCAAAAATTAGCCAGGCATGGTGGCACATGCCTGTAGTCCCACCTGCTCAGGAGGCTGAGGCGGGAGAATTGCTTGAACCCGGGAGATGGAGGTTGCAGTGAGCCAAGATTGCGCCATTGCACTCTCCAGCATGGGCAACAGAGTGAGACTCTGGCTCAAATAAATAAGTAGGTAAATAAATAAACCAAGTATAAGAACTCAATCCACAATTATAGGCTGAAATGAAATGAGATCATGAGTCAAAAGAATGAAGGCTGCTTCTAAAAGTTGAGATGACCCCAGCCAACAGCCAGCAAGAAATTGAGGACCTCAATTCTACAAAAGTACGGAACTGAATTCTGTCAACAACCTGAATAAGCTGGAAGTAGATTCACCCCGCAAAGCCTCCTGAAAGAAGCTCAGCCCTGTTGACACCTTGGTAGGCCTTGTAAGACCCTAAGTGGAAGACTCAGTTGAGCCACACTGTACCTAGACTTCTGATTTACAGAACTGCAACATAATGAGTGGGTGTTGATTTTAGCCACTAAATGTGTAGTAATTTGTTATGATAGCAATAAAAAACGAATACACCTCTTAAGAGGTGAAAGAGAAAAGAGGGAGATACAAGAGGCTTAGAAAGCAACTGGTCTAAGATAAATTGATAGACAACTAGGGGAATGTTTTCAAGAAAAAATTGAATGAGTTCCAAGCAGTAGATAGAAATGGATAAAGAGAACATGAACATACTCAGTGACATGGTGAAGAAAGTATTTATTTATTATTTACTCTAAAGGAAAAAAAGAAGGTAATTAGAAAGTCTTTGAAAAAAACTAAAATTTAATTGGAAAATTATGGCTTAAAAATGATGTAAACTAAAATAATCCATTATCAAGCTGCAGTGAACATTATGAAGTACCACCTACCATTCTCTTTTCAGAACCAAGGAACTTATATCCCCAGTTTCCATGAGTTTTGACTGCTAAAAACTCACAATTTAGTTCCCCCCAGGAAATTGCCCTCCACCAAAGGTATGTGCCTTGCAAAAGATTACACAACTTCCCTGGGGACAGAACACATCCAAAGACTGATTAGTGTGGAAGAAAAAAGGTTGGGCTCCTTGCCTCAATTCAAGGGAACTCTGAAGGTCTTCTCCAACTTCATAGTTCCCCATCTAGTTGGCTGAGGCGTCTGTTTTGACTGCACCATGGTTTAACTTCTCTCTATGCCCAATTCAGCTTCAGTCAGCTCCTTGTTTCTGAGAGGCTGGAAATCTCTTATCTCCTAATCTGTTTCCTAGAGAACTCACCCTAAGACACACCGTAAGAACAAGAACAAGACAAATATATTAGATCGCCACAAATACAGTTAGGCAGCTTAGCCTTAGAAACACAAATTTTAAAAGTGAAGTAAAAAACATGTTTAAAGAAAATGAGTGAACTTACTAGAAAAGAAGATGAAATATTTAAAAGACCACAGATGTTTAAAGCAGCTTTATTTATAATGGCCCAAACTGGGAAGAAACCAAGATGTCTTCAGTGGATTACAGGATAAACTATGGTACATCCACACAATAGACTATTACTCACCTCTAGAAAGAAAAAAAAAACAGGCCAGGCATGGTGGCTCACACCTGTAATCTCAGCGTTTTGGAAAGCCTAGGCAAGAGGATCACTTGAGGCCCGGAGTTCTAGACCAGCCTGAGCAAAATAGCGAAACCCACCCCACTGCCCCCCTTCATGTCTACCAAAAAAATAAAATTGTTTTTAGGGTTTTTTTGGTTTGTTTTGTTTTGGCTTTTTTTCAGATGGAGTCTCACTCTGTCACACATGCTGGAGTGCAATGGTGAGATCTTGGCTCACTGCAGCCTCTGCCTCCCAGGCTCAAATGACTCTGGTGCCTCAGCCTCTCATGTAGCTGAGAGTACAGACATATGCCACCATACCCGGCTAATTTTTTTATTTTTAGGAGAGACAGGGTTTCACCATGTTGCGCAGGCTGGTCTGGAACTGCTGACCTCAAGTGATCCACCCGCCTCTGCCTGTCAAAGTCTTGGGATTACAGGTGTGAGCCACCATACCCAGCCCCCAAAAATGTTTTAAATAGTTAGGCACGATGGCACACACCTGTGGTCCTAGCTGCTTGAGAAGCTAAGGCAGGAGGATTGCTTGAGCCCAGGAGGTCAAGGTTGCAGGGAACTACTGTGCCACTGCACTCTAGCCTGGGTGACAGAGTTAGACTGTCTCAAAAAAATAAAAAGAACTCAGTAAAAAGAAAAAAGCTATCAAGCCATGAAATAACATGAAGGAAACTTACATGCATATTACTAAGTAAAAGAAGGCAAATCTGAAAGGCTACATACTGTATGATTCCAACAATGTGACATTTTGGAAAAGATAAAAACTACGGAGGCAGCAAAAAGATCAGTGGCCATCAGGGATCAGGCAGAGGAGGCATGAATAGGCAGAGCACAGAGGATGTTTAGGGCAGTGAACACTATTCTATATGATCCTATAATAATGGACAGATTTAATGATATATTTGTTAATACCCATGGAATGTACAACACCAAAAGTGAATCTTAATGTGAGCTCTTTACTTCAGATGATAATAATGTGATAACACATCAATGTGTTACTGGCAGGTCTTTGTTCTTAAGAGTTCCCAAGATGGTGGCGGGCCACTCCCAAGATGGTGGCAAGCCTTTTGCTCTCTGACCTGGAGTTCTTGGCCTCACAGATTCCAAGGAATGGAACCTTGGGCCATGCAGTGAGTGTAATAGCTCTATTAGAAGCTGTGGGTCATGGAAGAGAACTGTGGAACCCAGCGACTAGTGTTCAGCTTGATTAGGACGAACCTGGGCACTTAGCTGCACAGGAACAATGGTGAGCCTTTAGCCCCATCAGGAGTGGCAATGGGTGCCTCACTGGATCAGAAGTGCAGTGGACACCCTGCTGGATCTGGAGGGTGGAAGTCAGCAGCAGTGTCTGCAATGACAGCGATCAGCAGTGGTGGACAGTGAGCGAAAGCTCAGCTCGAGCCAGAACAAACAGGGACCAGAAGAGTGTGCAGTTGCAAGATTTAATAGAGTGAAAACAGAGCTCCCATACAACAGGAGGGCACCCAAAGGGAGTTGCCACTGCTGGCTGGAACGCCTGGGTTTTTATCCTGATCATTGTCCCTCCCCCTGTGCTCTCAGGTGATAGATGATTGACTATTTCTTTACCTCCTGCTTTTAGCCTAATTGGTATTTTAGTGAGCTGAGTTACAAGCCCTGTGTTTAAAGGTAGGTGCAGTCACTTCCCCAGCTAGGCTTAGGAATTCTTAGTCAGCCTAGGAAATCCAACTAGTCCTGTCTCTCAAATGTAGGTTCATCAGTTGTCATAAATATACCTCTCTCATGCAAGATGTTGATAGTAGGGGAGAGGTTGCACAAGTATAGGGGCAGAGGATACGTGAGCTCTGAAATTTCTGCTCAATTTTGCTGTGAACCTAAAACTGCTCTAAAAAATGGTCTATTTTCTTAAAAAGATGAGACTGTTGGAGTACTTAAAATGTATTACCTCTGGGAAATGGGAAATGAGACACTGATTACCTATTCCAACTGAGACCAATTGCCCAATTGCTTTTTAGATCTGTAAAACAACAGTTGGATTCCTTGGTTAAACTCACTGTTTCTCATATTTCACATCTTCATCCTGTTATGTTTCACTCTTACTTTGCTGGAGTATATCTTCAGGAACTCAGAAATGGTATATGACAGGCAAATTTTCTAAATTCTTTATTTTGTCCCCACAACTGCTTTCACAGTTGAAACAGAAAATGGAAAAGAATGGGACAGGCGACTTTTACCCTTATGAACTATATTTAGTAAACCACATCTATGAAGTACTTTGATAAAAATGCAGAATAGAAGGAAAAATTCATCTGGACAAAATGTATTCTACAGTCCATTGGGAAAATAAAGTTAGATCCACATTTCAGATTTTGTATCAAAATACAATCAAAACAAGTTGAAAGTTTAACTATAAAAAAAGTTAAAAGAACATATACTTAGTTTAATAATTTTAGAATTCAGAAAGACTTCCTCAGCATAATTACCAACATTAGAAGCCATAAAATAATGATAGATCTGAGTACACAAATGTACTTTTTTTTTTTTTTGAGACAGAATCTTGTTTTGTCACTCAGGCTCGAGTCCAGCGGTGCAATCTCAGTTCACTGCAACCTCTGCCTCCCAGGTTCAAGCGATTCTCCTGCCTCAGCCTTCCAAGTAGCTGAGAGTACAAGCCCGTGCCACCAATCCTGGCTGATTTTTGTATTTTTAGTAGAGATGGGGTTTCACCACGTTGGTCAGGCTGGTCTCGAACTCCAACCTCGGGTGATCCACCTGCATTGGCCTCCCAAAGTGCTGGGACTATAGGCGTGAGCCACCGTACCTGGCCCAAGTGCACATTTTTATATAAATAAAATATCTTTATATAAATAAAATACACACCAAGCTATTTAACCAGTGGTTAACTCTGGAGAGAACAATGGCAACTGGAGAAAGGGATCAGGAAGGATCTTCAGTGGAAAGTACCGAAACGGCAAAACAGAAAATAATAAATTGGGCTTCACCAACAAAACAGAAAATAAATAAATTGGACTACACCAACAAACCAGAAAATAAATAAATTGGGCCTCACCAAAGCTAAAAACTTTTGGGCATCAAAAGATACTATGAAGAGAGTGAAAAAGAAACCCACGTGGGAGAATGGGAGAAAATATTTGCAAATCATATATCTGAAAAAGGACTGATATTCTGAATATATAAGGAACTCCTATAACTGAACAACAGAAAAACAAACAATTCAAAAATAGGCAAAGGACTCGAATAGACGTTTTTCCAAGAAGACATAGGAATGAACAATATGAACATGATAAGATATTCAACATCACTAACCACTAGGGAAATGTAAATAAAAATCATGATGAGATACCACTTCATATCCAACATCTGAAAATAGCAGATATTGGCAAGGATGTGAAGAAATTGGAACTCTATACATTGCAGGTGGGAATGTAAAATGGTAGAGATGCTGTGGAAAACAGTATGGCAGCTCCTCAAAAAATACACGTGATTCATGTGATTCAACAATTCCACTTCTGGGTATATACCCAAGAGAAATGAAAATAGAGGCTAGAACAGATAGCTGTTTACCCATATTTGTAGCAGCATTATTCGTAATAGCCAAAAGATAGAAACAACCCAAATGTCCATTGGATAAATCAAATATAGTCTGTAAATACAGTGGAATATTATTCAGCCTTAAAAAGTAATGAAATCCTGATATATACTACAACATGTGTGAACTTTGAAAACATCGTTAAATGAAATAAGCCAGATACAAAAGGACAAATATGATTCTGCTTAATTGAGGTACCTAGAATAGGGAAATTCATAGAGATAGAAGGTAGAATGGTGATTATCAGGGATTGGAAGAAGGGGAGAATGGAGAGTTATTGTTTAATGGGCATAGAGTCTCAGTCTGAGATTATGAAAATACAGGAGACAGAGGAACCATTTTAAAAAAAATTTTTAAGGTACATTGTGAGGAAACAATCAGATGAATCCAGAAAGTAAAACATTCCTTAGGAACTGGCCATTCTCTTCAGTAAGCCAGTGCAAGAAAAAAGGCAGTAAATTAGATTGAAAAAGATTGAAAGGATATTACAGCCAGATAAAATGTCTTGTCCCAGATTAGATACTACTCTGGACAAAGCTGCTGTAAAAGGCATCATGGAGACAACTGAGGAAATTTGAATATGAATTAGGAATTCGGGGATATAAAGAAAATATTATTAATTTTTTTCAGGCATTATAAGAATACTTTGCCCATGTATGAAAATGTTCTCTTTTTTTAGAAATGCAAACTGTGTTTAGAGGTGAAATGTTCAAAATCTCTGTAATTTACTTTAAAATAATATACAAAAATATTTTAAAATTGGGATACAATGATAAATAATGTTATGTCATCTAATTCCTAATTCATATTCAAATTTCCTCAATTGTCTCCATCATACCTTTTATAGTAGTTTTGTCCAAACCAATATCTAATCTGGGACAAGACATTTTATCTAGTTGTAATATCCTTTAAGTCTGTTTTTGAGTTGGTGCAAAAGTAATTGTGGTTTTTGCCATTATAAAGAAACTAAGGGGAATTAGATAGGAGGTGACCAGGGATTGAGTACTATAGATTTGCAATCTCTGAGAAAGTGACATTTGAGCTGAGATATTAAGTGATTGCCAGCTATGTCAGTTCAGGTCCTCCAAGGTCTAGATGACAAGACAGGATTAGTTTTAAAATAGATCAGAAAACACCTGTGAAGGATACAAGCAAGAGAAGGCAGGAGAGTCTTCAAACCACAATGCAGTTCTGGCACCTGGGAAAGGAGAGCAGGAAAGAAAGAGGATTGGATAGGAAGATTTTCAAGAGTGCAGCACAGTTGTGAGAAAGTCTCAGGCCAATGGGAGCCCCAAAGTAGAAACTGCCTATCAGAGGAGTCCTGCCTTGGGCAAGAATGGCCCAGCTGTGGTGTCCCTACTGACCATCCCATCGATACTGCTCAGTCGTTGGCTGGATGCAGTTAGCCTCAGTATGAATGCTGATGTGGGTCACAAGTCACGGCCACTAGAGAGTGCTAACTCTGCTCCTCACAGCAGGTTCTCTTGAAGGGAAATCTGAGCGGCATACCTTCATAGCTATCCTTCCAGCCTTGCAAAGATCTGGAGGGAGAGTCTATCAAGAGGAGGAAATGGCAAAGGCAAAGTCCCTAAAATATAGGAAAATTGTTGGTATATTTGAGGAAAAGAGAAAACTGAGTAAGTTTGCAGCATAATGAGAGTGGCAAACTGGCACAAGAAGTCAGATTGATAAGCAGAGACGTCGTCATATGGAGCTGAAAAGACTATGATGAGGGGGTAAATTTTATTCCAAGTATAATGGAAATCCATCAACCAGTTGTTTTAAGCAGTGACTTATTATGATCTGATTTAGGTTTTAGATTCAAACTTCCTAAAACATTAATCTGTATTTATAGCATCCATTTCTTCATATTTCATTTTCTCCCAACCCACAGCAAGTTTGATATTCATCCTCACCTCTCTATTGAAAATGCTTTTACTAGGTTACCAAAAGCTTGTTAATTGCTAAGTTCAATTGCTTCTTTCTAATTCCCATCCTAGTTGTCTCCTGGGTCACATCTACACTTAGCCACTCACTCCTTAAAATTTCTCTCATGGCTGCTTTTCACTACTCCTTTCTAATTTCCTTCTATGGCTTTTTAAAATCCATTCCCTAAATTTTTTTATTCTCAATTATATCTTTAATACTTTCCTGTTATCCCAAGGCACCCTCACCTGCTAAATTTCACCTACATGCTGATGACTCCAAAATTTCTTTTTTTTTTTTACCTCTAGCCCTCTATTCACACTCTTCAAACCTAGATTTTCATATGTGAGTCATTCATTTCCACCTCAGAGCATAATATACCAAAACAAAAATCATTACCGTCCTTAAGAATGCTTCTTATGTCCTGGTGCGGTGGCGCACATCTATAATCCCAGAATTTTGGGAGGCTGAAGTGGGTGGATTGCTTGAGCTCAGGAGTTTGAGACCAGCCTGGGCAACAGGGCAAACAAAACGTTGTCTCTACAAAAAAATACAAAAATTAGCTGGGCATGGTGGCACAGGCCTGTAGTCCCAGCTACTCGGGAGGCTGAGGTGGGAGAATCACTTGAGCCCGGGAGGTGGAAGTTGCAGTGAGCTATGATCATGCCACTGCCCTCCAGCCTAGATGACAGAGTGAGAATTTGTATCAAAAAGAAAAAAAGAAAATTCTTCTTATATATTCTCTTTCTTGGATAATGACATCACCAGTCACGCAGTTCACATAACTTCTTGAAATAACATTTACCTCCTCACTTATGGTCAAAGTATAATTTTCAAAATTTAAAGATATGACTGTCGTATAATTATAGAATGAATAGGTTTCAAATGTCTGTCTCTTTAATGAGATAACAAGCATGATGGTAAAGCTGGCTTATAGAAAAATTAGGGAAACAGTATACATAGCGAGTCACAAAAGATACGTTTAAAGTTATAAGCTGAAATAAGTTTGCTAAATTACAATGTCATACAAGTTAATGTTCTATAGGTCAAAATAAACTATAGCCTTTGGAGTTATGTTCTCTGCTAGATAAAAATGATTTGCTTCTCTATAGGGCAAAAATCTACAAGTTAACTTTTTACACAGTATTAGTTCTAATAAATGGCATATAAATCAAACAAAGGTATATCTCTTGGAGAATAAAATAATCATTGGGTAGATCTATTAAGCAATGCTCCAGGATGACACACAGTCATTCTTTGGCCTTATTTCCAAGTTCTGGATATTATTTTCTCATACTTGCTGTTGATCTTAAATAGCCATTATGTGGTGATGGAGCTATATTTTAAAGACAAATCTGCCTGACTTCAATGCCTATGTTTTTCCTCACAAAGAATGTGAGTTGCTGGCTAATGCAAATCCATGCATAAGATGAGATGTAAGGACTGAGAAGAGGCCTCTGCTTTTCAAAATCAGTAGGACACAGTGATTAAAAGAGTACGGCATTAGACAAAGAAAGAAAAATATATCAATAGGTAGACCTGCTTATACAGTCCATATGATCTACTACAAAGGCACCAATACAATTCAATGGGAAAAAGAAGACCTTTATAATAAATGGTGGGGCAGCAACCAGATATAACACACATAAAAAGACATGAACCTTGATTCCTGCCTTGTACCATACACAGAAATTTACTTGAGATTAATCATATACCTATATGTAAAATAAAAAGCTATAAAGATTCTGAAAGAAAGTATAGGGGAATATCTTTATGACTTTGGGGCAGGCAAAATTTCTTAAACAGAACTTAAATAGCCCCAATCATGAAATTAAAACTTGAAAAATTAGACATTACCAAAACTAAACATTTCTGCTCATCAAAGACACCAGTAGAAAAATGAAAAGGCAAGTCACAGACTGGGAGGAAAAATTTACAATACACATACCTGACACAGCATTACAAATCAATTATAAAAAGACTAAACATCCAATAAGAATAATGAATAAAAGATTTCAACGGCACTTCACAAATGTGGCTATCTCAATAAACACATGAAAAAGTATTTAACATAATTAGTTAAATACAAGTTAAAACCACAATAAATAATGTCATGCAGGCACCAAAATGGCTAAAATTAAATTTAAAAAATTTTAGATCAGGAGCAGGTTGCTCATGCCTGTAATTCCAGCACTTCAGGAGGCCAAGGCGGGCGGATCATTTGAGGTCAGGAGTTCAAAACCAGCCTGGCCAACATGGTGAAACCCCAACTCTACTAAAAATAAAATTTGCCAGGCGTGGTGGTGGGTGCCTGTAATCCCATCTACTCGGGAGGCTGAGGCAGGAGAATCGCTTGAGCCCAGGAGGCAAAGGTTGCAGTGAGTTGAGATAGCGCCACTGCACTCCAGCCTGAGTGACAGAGCGAGACTCCATCTCAAAAAGAAAAAAAAAAAAAAATTTAAAGACTAATGATATCAAATGGTGGCAAGAATGTGGATCAGCTCTCAAAATTGCTGGTATGAGTACAAAATGATACAACCACTTTGTAAAATTGTCTGTCTTTCTCTACTAGTGTTAAACATTCACTTACCTTATGACACAGCAGTTTCAGTTGTAGGTATTTACTCAAGAGAAGTGCATGTCCCCACAAAAAACTTTCACAAGACTGATCATTGCAGCTTTATTCACAATAACCCCAAACTGAAACAATTCAAATGTCCACTAACAGGCAAAAGAACAAACAAGTTGTGATATATTCCTACAATGGAATAGTATCAGTGATAAAGGAAAAAAATAAAAATAGAATACTTCTAGTGTAGTCTACAACCAGGTTGCCCCTCCTGCATATTGTTTTGAGTGAAGTAAGTCAGATATAAAAGATATATAAAAGACTACACACAATGAATATGTAGTATAGGATTCCATTTATAGAAAGTTCAACAACAAGCAAAAGTAAACAATGTTTATAGAAATCAGAGTAGGGTTTACCTCTGGATAGGCAGGGATGGAGGTTGTAGTGATAATATGTTCTGAAAAGAAACACAGTTGAGTTTTACGGGGTTTTGGAAATGTTTTGTGTCTTGATCTGCATGGTGGTTACCTGGGTGTATACATGTAAAAATAATCTAACTGTTCATTTAAGATTAGTGCACTTCAGCAAAGGAAAATGTCAGCAGAGTGAACAGACAACCTACAGAATGGGATAAAAATTTTTCAACTATGCATTTGACAGAAGTCTAATATCTAGCATCCATAAGGAACTTAAATTTACAAAAAAAAACCCATTGAAAGTGGGGCAAGGACATAAACAGACAAAAGATGACATATATGCGGCCAACAAGCATATGGAGAAAAAGCTCAACATCACTAATCATTAGAGAAATGCAAATCAAAACAACAAAGAGCTACCATATCTCACCAGTCAGAATGGCTACTATTAAAAAGTCAAAAACCAGCAGATGCTGTTGAGGTTGCAGAGAAAAAGGAACGCTTATACACTGTTAGTAGGAGTGTAAATTAGTTCAACCATTGTGGCAGTGTGGCAATTCCTCAAAGACCTAAAAACAAATATTATATGACCCAGCAATCCCAAGGAATATAAATCATACTATTATGAAGACACATGCACACATATGTCCATTGCAGCACTATTCACAATAGCAAAGGCATAGAATCAACCCAAATGCCCATCGATGGTAGACTAGATAAAGAAAATGTGGTACACACACCCCATGAAATACTATACTATATACCCCATGAAATACTATATACCTCATGAGATACTACGCAGCTAAGAAAGAATGAGATCATGTCCTTTGCAGGGACATGAATGGAGCTGGAGGCCATTATCCTTAGTGAACTGACAGAGGAACTGAAAACCAAAAACCAAATACATATAAGTGACATGTACTCACTTATAAGTAGGAGCTACATGATGAAACACATGGACACATAGAGGGGAACAACACTGAGGCCTGTCAGAGGGTGGAGGTTAGAGGAGGGAGATGACTGGAAAAAATGGCTAATGGGTACTAGGTTTAATACCTGGGTGATGAAATAATCTATACAACAAACCTCCATTACACAAATTTACCTATATAATAAACCTGTACATATACCCCTTAACTTAAAATAAAAGTTAAATAAAAATAAATAAATAAGGTTTAGCACACTTTATGCATTTTACTAGATATGTTATCCATCAAAAAGTCTTAGTTTTTCATGGGGCCTTGGGTTGCAAGTTTTGTAGAACCAGAGAAAATAGTCTAGATTATAAAGGATCGATGAATAATGATGTAATGAAAATTAACTTCGGTTTCAAGAAATTTCACTTGAAGAGAAAGGAGAAAATTAAGGAAGTAATAAAAGACATCAACAAGTCAAAGAAAAATGTTTTCAAAATTCCTTTAGAATTGGGAATGACTATGAGGGAGAAGAAGCCAGTGGAGAAGTGTAAGTTGAAGATGGGAACGGAGAGAAGAGAAAGTTGGTATCTTTGAGTTAGAAATGGAAGAGTTACCTAAAAAATGAGAAGGAAGCTATCTACCTTATCAACTAGAGCAAAGGAAGAGAGTAGGTGAAGAAACATAGAGACTATGCATCTGACAAAGGTCTAATATCCAGCATCTATAAGGAACTTAAATTTGCAAGAAAAAGACAACCCCATTAAAAAGTGGGCAAAGGACATGAACAGATGCTTTTCAAAAGAAGATATACTTTTCAAAAGAAGACACCTTTCAAAAGAAGACATAATTTAGGGACTTTTACTGTACCTGGCCTCAACCTTCTTACTAAAATGGGAAGTAAGAACATCTACTAAAATTCAAGAGGTGTAGGGAAAAGAGGACTGGAGGTAGAGAGCTTGATGAAGTAGCTATGTCATTATCTGTGAAATCCTAGGCAAGTTACTTTGCTTTTTGAGTTTCCTGACTCATATGATGGAAATAACATTCACCTCACAGAGTTGCTATGAAGATGTAATGAGCTAATGTCTACAAAGTGTCCGTATAAGGAAAACAGTGAATATTAGTTCCCCTTTTAAAGGAGCAGAGATGCTGAAAATTACCCTTCCTGAATAGTTTGGTGAAAACAACGAATAACCTGGAGTCAGCCTAAAAAAGACCCAACAGAGAAGGATACAGAATCTAGTGCAAAGCACTTCCCTAACATTTGTGAAGGACAGTGCAAATGAAGGCCAAAATACCTTATGTCTAAATATTTAAAACTTATAAATCAAGCTAGCAAAGTATTCAGTAAAAGATGTTCTGTCCTCCTCCTTTAATAAATATAGCTTAGAAATGACTTGAAGTCCAGTTTCAAAGTTAGAATCTCCAGATTCCTTGGGGTTTCACACTGAGTCTTGGTGATGTGAGAAGAGCCAGAACAACTCTGCCTTCTTCCGCCTCTGTCCCACACTGAAAGGGGTCTCCAGTGTATGTGTGAGGATACTCCAGCCTGAGAATCCAAGCTCTGTTCTCACCGTTGGCATCCTTGGGTCATTCTTCGGCTTAGGGTTATACACTCCTATGGCATGGTCTTTGCCTTACAAAAGCCCTAGCAGCAAGCTCAGAGCCATTTGGGCAGAAAATTCTGAGGGTCCGAGTACTTGGAGCTTTCTCTGGAAAGGAGCACTGTGGGCTTTGGGTTGGTATATCTCATTAGGCCCTGGAGGCTCCTCACCTCATAGTGGAGTGGTGTGGCTGAAGAAGAGCCAGTGTGGCTCCAAAGCATGGGCCCCTGAGCAGGGGCCTCTCATGCCCAGAGCCAAGGGCTATGTAGCTAGTCACGTTTAAGTCTAAGATTACTCACACTTCGCGTCCCAACAGTAAATGCAGGGAAACTCCAGTACTACTGACTAGAAAGAGCAAAAGACTCAAGACCAGAATATGCTAAAAAATAGAATGAAAATGAAGTACAACCTATAAATCTTTATTAAGAAGCTCTTTTCTACTTAAAAAGTAAGCAATGTAGCCTTCTGAGTTATTCTGACGAATTGAAAACTTCCCTATAAAGTATTGTGTAAAACTGAAAATGATATCTTAATCTCAGATATACTCTGCAAATCAGGATACTTTATAGCTAGCAGTGACCTGAAAATGCTTTGTGAGCCTTGGCTGGAGAAAAAGAAATTTTCTACCCTCTATTCTTTGTCTGGCTTTATATTTCTTAAAATCAAGCAAGTTGTATTTATATATGCATATTTGTAGATTCATAGGATGTCTGTGAACTCAAATGGTGTTCTTATTACAACAATCAGAAACAAAGAATTTTGCATTTTTTGACAAATTCTCATTAGTAAAGAGGCACTAAACATGCTAGTGAATACAACATAGAGGAGAATATTCATCAGATTATTTTTAGCTACCACCTACATACACCATCATGGCAACATCAAGAGCAGGAGGGAAATAATGATTCTTTTAGTTTAATAAACCATGATGTTTCTGAAAATTTCCTCTTTCCTTTCCAAATCAGGGCATCTAATTATATAAATTATTACTGTGGCAACAGATTAGATACCAGAAGAAAGAGAAAGAGTTGGGGGAAGAATGAAGGAAGGAAGGGAGGGTGAAGGAGAGAAAGAGAAGGTGGGAGGGAGGGAAAACTAGGCTATGAAACAAACAAGAAATAATCATTAAAAGAAGAAAAAAAGTATTTTTACTAAGAGTAGAATGTGGGAACTGGTAACTAGAAGAAAAAGGAAACACTGAAAAAATGTATTTAGGATTCAAACCAGTCAGTATCAGAATAAAGTAAAGGTAAACTTTGTGAATGTTGGTAAAAGATGCCACAAATCACAGTAGTAGGTTGCAAAAGATAGGATGAGGAAATATATACATATATTTTGAAACTATGTAATAAACCCTGCAAGTAAGATTCAATAGAATATAAGATACTGTGTAAATAAGAAGATACAAAGATTACATATTTTTTATAACATATACATTATATATTGTTACACATAATATGTGTTTATATTACAACTATTTGAGAAGACAGCTCACATAAAAAGATATACAAATCCTTTTTAAACATAGAGCTCAAACAACATCTCTAAAAATAAGATGAAAACAAACTACTTTGAGATAAAAATTTTTACCCAATGAATTTGCAAAGACCTAGGTTTGGTAATACAAATTTGCTATGAAAAGTGTAGCAGGACAAAACTTTCTTAAATATTGTAGGTGGTTAAATCATTTGGGGCAACTTTTTTGTAAAGCCTTGGAAACAGTATGTATCAAAATTTAAAATGCACATACCCTTTGAACTAGCATTTATACTTCTCAGAAATTATCCTTTAGATATACCTGTACTTGTACAGACAGTATGTACAAAGCTATTCATGTAGATTATAAGAGGAAAAGATTGGAAAAAGACTTGAATGTTCATTAATATAAGGCAGGTTAAATATATTCATTTACATTCATATTGTGCAATTATTATGCACCTGGTAAAAGGAATAAGGTAAATCTGTAGGCACTAATATGCAGTATGTTTGAAATATATCATTAAGTGAAATAAAAAAAAGTGCAGTGTATATAACATACTATCATTTGAGTTAGAAAACAGTAATAAAAAGGGGTTGGGGCAACTTCATATTGTCAATGCTTTTCAGCCAAAGATCCCCAGAAGTACTTACAGTTAAACAAGTTGGGTTTAATATTTTGTGCTGCAAGGGAGAAAGCAGGGAATTTGTGTGATATCTCAGCGAAAATATGTAAAAAGAACATAATAAGGATTTGGCTTTGGTTTGGGTTTATGGAAGTAAGGGCAATTTCATGATTGAATATCTTAAATTTTATCTACAGGGAGGAAAGACTATAGGAGGACAAAGCTATAATTGGGTAAAGTTAAAATCTCCCCACTTGGCCTTCACTGGTATGAGTGAGGATGGGGCCATAGTTTTGGTGTTTGGCAGCAGTAAGTTTGTTATTTTTCTATGAAGTTTTCTGTCTTGCTAGACTGCCTTTATCCTGGTCCTTTGACTCGACGGAGCCGACTTTTGCTGGGACATTTTTTTTGTCTGTGCCCATTGGCATTTCCAGGTTGCCAGCTTTGCAATTACCATCTGTGACATGTAAAGGGAAAACAAAGAGTAAGGAACTCACTGTCATGTCATTCTTCAGATCCTGAAGTTCTCTCACCTCTTTTGCCTTCTCTTTACTAATCAGAATCTTCATATGTTTGTTTTATATATTATGCCCAGGGTTTTTTTGTAGTACCGGGAAAAGTATATCTATTGCATCTTCCTGGAAATGGAAGTCCTCCTGGATATACTTTTGTTTGGTTTGAATTTTTTGTCATAAGCATGAATGCCATAGATTATTACATGCTTTTCTAGGACTGATAATTGTTCAATCTTAATGAAGAGAATAATGGAATAAAGTTGGGGTAAGTAAAGCTGCTTAATTCAGTTGATCAGGAAAGGCCCCTCTACAATACTTGAGCTGAGATCAGAATCTAGGCTTGTGAAGAACTGAAGAGCAGAGGAAGGGTAAAAGCAAAAGTCCTGAAGTAAGAACAAGCAAAGCACAATCCAGGACAGAGTGCTAGTGTCAGTGAAATGCTGGAGCTAACTTGTGTCAGCTCAGAAGAGCCAATTGTTAAAACTTCAGGAATTTTGTGAGCTGGTACACAATTATTATTAAAAATTAAATTATATAAACTTATAATTAAATATTTGAAACTCAAAAGCAATAAATAATCAAAAATTTACCATTTTTGAATTATTTTACATTTTCTTATTATCTATGTTTTTGAAATTATTTATACCTAATACACACACACATTGTGGAAATACTATATAATACCGCACTGCTCTGCATCTTCAGTGACCTTATATTGATGTATTTAAGTTAGTGAGAGTATTTACACCTCAGATACTGGCAAATGCTACAAATCAGGGCTTAATTTGTTGTTTTTCCAACTGTCTAGATTTAAGAACATGATGAAGAAAATGTTAACAATACAGATTAAACTTAAAAGTATGTGAAGTTAGTAACCATTACATTATGCATAGCATGAATAAATAAGGAAATAGCCTTCCAGTATTTAAAAACTATCATTTGATTCAGCCAAGAAGTCACTCAGATCATCGATAAAGGCATTAAATTTCAACATATGTCTTCATTGTTTTACTTTTATCTTACTTATGGAGGAAGGAGAAAGAGGGGAGCAGGAAAGAATAGCACTTGTAAAAATAAAGCAAAAATTTATAGACATTATCACTGCTTGCCTTATTTATTGTATCTCTGTCAGATGGCCATCTGTAACTGTAAGGGAGTCTTTGAACATGCATTTTAAACATTGCTGCCTCTAACTAAATAATGATTCTGTTAATAAGGAAGGAGAAGAAAGTAGTTGGCTAGAAAAGTAGACAAGGCAGATGAGGCAAGAATGGAAGCACAGAAACCAGTAGAGGCTATTCTAGTGGCCCAGAATACAGAAGATGTAGGCTTATACTAAGGCGGGGGTCATGGGAATGGAGAAGACTGAACAGATTCGAAGTAGTATTTGGAGACTGAATGAATAAAACAAGATTGGAGGAGGCTGGGGAAGGAAGAATTAATAACTTTCTTAGGTTTGGGGTTAGAGCAACTAGGTGGATGGTGGTGCCATTTACAGAGATGAAAAAGACTGGAAGGAAAGTATGGGTGCAGAAATGGGGAATTTGTTTGAACTTAGAGACAGCAACTTTCAGATGCCTTTTAAAAATCTATGTGGGGCCGGACACCGTGGCTCACGCCTGTAATCCTAGCACTTTGGGAGGCCAAGGTGGGTGAATCACCTGAGGTCAAGAGTTTGAGAGCACCTGGCCAATACGGCAAAACCCCGTCTCTACTAAAAATACAAAAATTAGCAGGCATGGTGGCGGGTGCCTATAATCCCAGCTACTCGGGAGGCTGAGGCAGGAGAATCACTTGAACCCTGGGGGTGGAGGCTGCACTGAGCCGAGATAGCACCACTTCGCTCCAGCCTGGGCGAAAGTGTGAAACTCCGTCTCAAAAATAAATAAATAAATATATACATAAATAAATAAATACGTGGAACTGTTAAGTAGGAAGTTATTTATAAGAGTCTAGAGCTTCAGAGAAAAGTGAAATCTAGGAATAAATTTGAATCATCAATATTTAAATAATATTTAAAGTAACGTAACTAGACAAAATCAACTAGGAAAAGTGTGTCTGTTATATATATGTTTATATATATGTCTATATATGTATGTGTGTGTGTATATATATATATATATATATATATATAGTTCAAAACCAAAGCTAGCATATTGTAAGAGGTATGACCAATGTAGTAGAAAGAAAACCAGGAGAAAAAAAGAAAATATATATGATGTATACACACACACACACGCATATATATATGTATATATATGTGTATATATGTGTATATATGTATATATATATGTGTATATATGTATATATGTGTATATATGTATATATGTGTGTATATATGTATATATGTGTGTGTATATATATGTGTGTGTATATATGTGTGTATATATGTATATATGTGTATATATGTATATATGTGTATATATATTTGTATATATGTATATATGTGTATATATGTGTATATATATGTGTATATATGTGTGTATATATATGTGTATATATATGTGTATATATATATAGAGAGAGAGAGAGAGAGAGAGTTCAAGACCAAAGCTAGCAGTTTGTTAAGTGGTATGATCAATGTAGAAGAAAAAAAAAAAAACAGGAGAAAACCGGTCATGCTGAAAACCATATAGGAGAAACTGGTCAACTCAGCTGGGCTTGACAAAATTGGTAACCTCAGCAAAAGCACATTTTGTGAAATGTTGGTATTGGCAGCCAGAATGAATTAATTAAAAATAGTCACAGCATTTCTATTATCAACCAAGACTTATGCAAAACGTATTCTAAAATTTTTTTCTAATTGTGAGAACTCTAAGGTGGAAACCATTTTAAAACTCACAAGTTTACCTGGCAATTGGAGACTGAATTCCTTCCTTTAAACTGACGCTATTATGAGTCTATCCCTTGCTGATTGCCCCTTTCCCCATTTATTATTTATAGCAAAGCTTGCATACTTATGGCCTGATGGCCAGAATGTGCCCACATATTTTGTTCAAGCTGTGTAGTACTGGCTTATGCAGAATTTTTAAATTTTTAAATCTTGGAAAGAAAAGAACCCTCATCTTTGTAGGATACATATTACTAGTCAGTCTCTCCTGCTTGCCCTCTACCTCCCCATCATCATTAATAATCTTTCCACAGCATTATTTTCTTTCTCACACATTCCTTAAAAAGCTGTTTAACTATTGAAGTATTTACAAGTGAGATGATGTGATGTCTTTAGCAGGCTTCAAAATAATGCAGTGTCAGGGGGAATTGGTTAGTGAGGGTGTAGATGAAACCAAATCGGCCATGCATTGAAAATTGTTCAGGGGCCAGGCATGGTGGCTCATGCCTGTAATCCCAGCACTTTGGGAGGCCGAGGCGGGTAGATCACCTGAGGTCAGGAGTTCAAGAACAGCCTGACTGACATGGTGAAACCCCATCTCTACTAAAAATACAAAAATTAACTGGGCGTGGTGGTAGACACCTGTAGTCCCACCTACTGGGGAGGCCGAAGCAGGAGAATTGCTTGAACCCTGGAGGCGAAGGTTGCAGTGAGCTGAGATCAAGCCGTTGCAGTCCAGCCTGGGCAACAAGAGTGAAACTCTGTCTCAAAAAGAAAAAAAAAGAAAAGAAAGAAAATTGTTGAGGATGGGTCAGTATGCAAGGGTTGATTATACTGTTCTCTCTACATTGTACGTGATTGAAAATTTCCAGCATAAAACCGTTTTTTAAATGGGGGAGGGGAAGAACTCGAGTAATCTTTACTATCAAGAAATTTATACTCAACTTGAGACGGCACATTACTCAAGAAGTTAAAACTCGGAGGCTGAGGGGAGAAGAGTGTGCACTGGCAGAAGGAGAGATGGCACAAAGGTATTTAAAGGTATGCCATGTTGATACAGAAGGCCAGATTGCAGTATGGTTGCAGCAGAGCAGGAACAAACATTCGTGGAGTACTTTGTGTTAACTTCTATGTACTGTGTTTTACAGGATTTTTCTCATTTACTGTTCACATACATCCTATGAGGTTGATATCATAGGCAAGAAAGCTCTGATACTCAAACAAGTTAAATTATCTGCCTTGGGTCACAAAGCTGGTGTAGGATAACTTTTGGAAAAGCAATCTCACTGGAAAAGCCAGACTGCAATTTGCTGAGGAAAACTTGTGGACCAGAGACCAGGGGTCACCTACAAGCTAAATAAAATGTATGGAAAGTATGCTTAAAATGTTTCATTTTGTTGCTAACATTTAAAAATCAGGAACAAAGACTTTAGATTTCTGACTTTTCTTTAAGAACTGAGAATCTATCCACATGGGTGCTGTACCACCTCACAGCCAAGGCACTGCTGCCCCCTTTAGGTGGGACTTACGCTCTCCTTTCTGTGGGAGTTCCTCCACTCATTATTGCAAATGTACTGCTTCACTTTACGCATTACGGCCTACATAGGTATTTGAATTCATTTATATACTAATTGTATTCATCCTGGAGTGTTATGACATGGTGGCATGGGTGTGATCAGTGAGAGAGAAAGGAGTACAGTCTTAGAAACTCAATGTGATTTGACCACCACATGTTGAGAACTACGCTCCAAACCACTTCTCTGGCAATTAATCCTGTACTCCATGCCTACTATAATGTCTCTTGCAGAGTTTTCTTGTGCTATAAATGCTAAGTGCCATATGATAAGTGGTGTGATAATAAACGCTTAGGGTTTCAGAGGAGGGCACAATTATTTCTGCAATCATTAAGACAAAAAATTATAAAAGTTGAATTGAAATTTTATAAGAGAAGACAAACCATTACATATGGAAGGAAAATCACAGGAAAAAGCATAAACTTAGGAAGGTGCAAATATGTGCAGAGAGTGGGAAGTGGACCAGTGTACTCGAAGCTGAGGTTCCTTCATCTAGGCAACTGTAACTCAGGGCTTGATAGAACCACAGAAATGTTTAAACTAGAAAAGAACTTACTTGAAATTATTCTTTCAGACCATCCATACTTGAAATTATTCTTTCAGATGACAACCAAGATCTTTTTTTACAATTTTTTGTAGAGGTGGGGTCTTTCTATGTTGCCCAGGCTAGTCTTGAACCCCTGGCCTTAAGTGATCCTCCTGCCTCGGCCTCTCTAAGTGTTCATATTATAGGCATAAACTACTCTGCCCAGGCACGATCTTTAGAAGTTAGGTGATTTGCTTAATGTCACATCGCTAGTTCATGAAGGAATTGACATTAAATCTTCCGCTTTCCATGGTTCTCCTCTGTACTTCCCTTCAACATGAATCATTTACATTGTAGACAAGGAGAGAAAAGTCTGAGCTGCTGCTGGGTTCTGGACACATTATTTTTCTTGACCTCAAGTAGCAATTGCCCTTTTCCTTTCATCATTCAATTTCACTTCAAATTCTTAACCAGGAACTGAACCAAGAAAGTACTGCAGGCAAATCTGACAAGTAGAAAAAAGAATTAAGAATGGTTGATGCATCATACCACTTTTTGCCATTATGTGACTACATCTGACCTTCTTCAAAAATGACCTGGCCAGCTTCTAAATTCTATATTACTACCAGGCTCAGAAAAGGGGAAGAAACTACACAGTGAATTTTTAACCAACTAAAGTGGGCATGAGGAAAGGGAAGATGTGCTGGCAGACGAGTCTCAGGCTCAGCATTTGTAATAATAAGAATTGAAATCTGAAAAGAGTAGTCAGTTTCAGTGCTGCCTAAAAGGCACTGAAGCAGGCTTCCTCTGGCTTTCAATCCACAGCTAGTGATGCCTAGTTTGCATCTTGGAATTCAGGACTGGCAATATAGCCTAGTGTTAAGATCACAGCCTTTGGATTTGAATCCAGGTTTTAGCATTTACCAGCTAAGTGATAGGGATAATTGATTTAACCTCTCCAAGCATAAGTTTACACACATATAAAATGGTGACAGGAATAGTTCTTACCATCCTCATTGGGTTGCAATGAGCATCGAGTACCTTAATTTAGGTTTCCCCAAAAGCACAATCTGAGATGAAAATTTGAGTGCAAGTAGTTTATTTGGGAGGTGAGAGTGTGATGATGTGAGACAAGGAGAAAAGCCAATAATGGCTCAGTTAACAAGCACATACCCCCTGGGTGAAGAAGAGGCCAAATCCTACCAGGGATTCTTCATCACAGGGCTAGGAAGCTGGGAAGGGTAGTTATCCTTAACTTCCCATTCCTCGCTGGTTGAGAATTTCTCCTGGGCAAGCGTCCCAGACACTTCTGGCCTCCCCTGAGCACAGGTCAGGTATAGTCCAGAACACAGAGAAAGCCCTCTCACAGAAAATCCATGACTTGAAGTAGAAAGCTTTGTTTTTATAGGAACCATCCACTAAGGCTGCAGGTGACTCCTAGATGGGGCCAAGGGGATATGGATAGGGCATTGACAGCATCTTCTATAGTGAGATAATGTATTTATCATAGTAATGCCTGGAACATAGTAAGCACTCAACAAATGATACAGCTACTTAAAGTACAAAGTGCTTGGCACAAAGATGGCAAAGGGAAGGTCTTCCCAATTAAAAAGAGGAAACACTATCACTAAAGAGATGAGATGAGTAGAATCAACCCAGAAACCTGGGAGTCATCCTTCACTCTACCTTCTTCTCTTCACCCCGCTACCCAACCGACCCCACCTTTTTCTCCATGTATCATCAGTTTAATCACTTTAGCATCTCTCCTTTCTCTCTTCTCCACTCCAGCAACACTACCTTAAGGTAGGCTTTCACATTCCTTGCTTTAAGTATCATATCAACTTTCTACCTGCCTGACCTTCCTGTTACTCTCCCTTTCTTGAATCACCCAACCCATTCATTCAGTAGTATCAGAATGCTTTTTTCTAAAACCCAATTCTGACAAGGTCAAACTCTACCTCAAATACTTCAATGATTCACCATTTATTTCTGGGTAAAGTTAAAACTCTTTAGGACACAAGACTCCTCATAACCTGGTCCTGCTTATTTACCCATCCTATCTGCACTGTACTTTACCTTCAACTTCCACACCCAGACATAAGATTTAGTGCCTAATGTATGGTACATTTTCTCATCATTCACTGCCATTGCCTGACTCCCACCTTTTTTCATCTAGAAAGCTCCTAGTTTTCATTAAGGAATTCAAATTGTTATCATCTTCTACAAAAAACGATCCCTGATATTTCCCCTTCCCTCTTGATCTGGATAGGCGATCAAATGACCATCTTTGTATATCTTTTTTTTTTTTTTTTTTTGACAGTGTCTCACTCTGTCACTCGGGCTAGAGTTTAGTGACACCATCATGGCTCACTGCAACCTCTACCTCCCAGGCTCAAGTGATCCCTCTGCCTCAGCTACCAGAATAGCTGGGACTACAGGCATGCAACACCACACTCGGCTAATTTTTGTATTTTTTTGTAGAGATGGAGTTTTGTCATGTTGCCCATGCTGATCTCGAACTCCTGGGTTCAAGTGATCCTCCCACCTCTGCCTTGCAAAGTGCTGGGATTACAGGTGTGAGCCACCATGCCTAGCTTGTATATCTCAAAACCTACCACTTGTATTATCAGTATTGGCTTACTTTATGTCTTACTAATTAAACTATCATTCTTCATAATTAGATACCAAGAGTCTGCATTCATAAAAAGTATGCAAAGTGATTTTTATCCACACTGAAGTCTAAAAACAGTTTTTTACAATAAGTGCTTCCTAAAGGGAAGGACCTTTTCTCCTTGTAATTCCAGTGCCTAACATAGCTCCTAGCATGTACCTGATACTCAATAAATAACACTTGAATTAATAAATGAAATTACTTGTCTGGAATATTTCCACTCTTTCACAGAGATTTTATCAGGTTGCCACATGTGGTAATAAGACTTATTAAAGAATGCTTCCCTGCACAGATGGTATTGTAATTTGGGTATCTCATTGTTGATCTGCCAGTCCTCCAGCTAAGTGGTTATTAAATAAGACCTGTTGTTCTACTTTTTCACCCTTGATTGCCTTAAAATCTTTTTTAAGTATTTAGTCTTATTGGTTTTGGTAATGAAGTCTAGAAGAGTGGTTCTTAGACACATCAGAATGACCTGGAGAGCTTGCTAGAAATAGAGATGTTTGAACCCCAATCCCAAAGATTCAAATTCATTATTTGAGTGGGAAGGAGCCATGCTCTGTATTTTTAATGAGATTTTGAAGAAGAAAGTATCCCCTGTAATAAACACAACTATAGATTGTATAATTTAGAGAAAAGGATGGCATTTTTACAAACAGATACACCTACACCCTTATGACTTATTTCCTCTAGACAAATACCATGACCTGTTTCAAAAGAGGTTATCAGCACACTTTACAAATAGCTCTTGAAGTTTGGCAGCGTTACAATATTTTGCCTTGATTGGCTTGCCTAGTAACTTAACATACCTAAAGAAAAATCCACTGTCTTTTTTTTTCCTTCCTCTTGTGAATATAAAGGTAGACTGCATATTTAACCAAGAAATTGGGAGTATGGTCATCCAACTTTGACTTGTGTGAGCTCACATGTTGCATGTTGCCTTCTTACTAGATGACAAAATCAAATCTTACTCCAGACCTCGAGTCTGTTCTTACTTTCCACAGCAGGCTCTGTAGTTACCTGAACCCTGACAACAATGGAGGGGGCTGCAGGGTGAGGACAAGTATACACCTTCCTCCCTTTACCATAAACTATCCAGGGTGTCATGGCAGTCTTTGGCCCAGACTGTTTTCAGAATAAAGGGTTTTATTATTTTACACGGGAATCATAAAGTGAGCCTCTTTGTTCCTCTGTTTAGTTCATCTCCCCTTTAAACTTGTATATCTACTCTAGAAGACTACTAGAAAGTCTAGATTACTCTAGAAAAGACTTGGCATCTTGTTTGTCTCATGCTGGATATATTCCACTATGGTACTCTCTAGACCAAGGATGAGAATTAAACTCTATTCTGTTTAATTCCGTTTAAGCTATTATAGTCTCCAAAGTGAAAAAAATTGCTTTAAAAGTGGTATCAGAATACTCAGGAATTGAAAAAAAAATAGTTTTCTCTTGACAATACTTGAGCTAATGGTGATCTGAAATGTCCAAGGAGAACCTGGGAAAATATTTTTCATGGTCAGATGGAGTCCAGACATCTATGGGAGCTCTTGTCTCTCATGCCGTTATTAGAAATAAAATCGTTCTATAGAATAGAGTGATTCCATTTTACTTAGTACTGCAAAAACTTATACCCATGCAGAAAGTAAATGATACCTGTGAATTTTCTGAGTTTACCTATAAATAAAATGTTTCTGGACTTCCAGATGTAATTTTTATAAGTATAAATGTCAAAGGTTTTTAGATTGGATAGTGTTATAGAAATACATTTTAAATTTTATAATAAAAGTCAATGATAAATTAATATTTAATAAAATATACTTTTGTAGCCAATTTTGCTATAATAGTGTATTTAACAAAAGCAAGGGACTGTATGTAGTTTTAGACTATATTTTAGAAAACATTGTTATATAACTGTATATAACATATACCTATTTATTTTATAAAGTTCCCTTTAAAATTTTGTTAGAACTATTAATTTCACCATTAATTTAATTTTATTATTTGGTTTTGGCTGTCTAATATCTGGCAATTTCTTCAGTGTAACATCATCTTTCATTAATTTTTTTTCAATTATGAGGTTTTTGTGTGTTTTAATTCAAATCCTACTTAATAGAGAATATAACTTGAAAAGAAAGAGCTAAGTGGCCAAGTCTGAATCCTTAATTTGAAAAAGTGTATTAAGAATTGCTTTCTACAAACAAATGTTTTTATATTCAGGGCCACACGAAAATATTAATGTGAAACTTCATGGAAAAACTTGCTTTACTGAATTTCTTGAGTTAAACCACTAGATGGCAATAGCTTTGTTTCTTTGTGAATGAACTAGACAAATGGCTCTTAAAGAAAACATTTGTTTTCTTGAAAGCTCTTATCTCAGCTACCAAATTGCAATTCCTCAATTCTTAAAAAAGAAAAGGAGAATGGCGTGAACCCGGGACGCGGAGGTTGCAGTGAGCCAAGATCGCAGCCACTGCACTCCAGCCTGGGCGACAGAGCGAGACTCTCTCTCAAAAAAAAAAAAAAAAAAAAAAAAGAAAGTCACTGGGTCACCGAGGTGGAAAAAGAATGGCTTCACTTTGGAGCCCGCAAACTTCCAAGATTTTAGGCCTGTAAAGATACTTCATACAGGAAGACACAGGTGAACCAGGGCTCATGAATCTGTCTTCATTTCTTTCCACTAATTTTTTTCCTTTCTCATCTAATTTCACTTTCTCTAAAACTTATTTTTGCTGTTTGTGGATAAAAAAACACAGCCAAGGGTAGAAGGAAGGAAGGTTTGCAGAGCAGATAACACTTCTGATGGATTTTCTCTACCACAGAAGATTTTACACACTGCATGGAAAAACTATAGTCACTGTACCCAAAATGCATTTTCTACCTCAGAATTACTACCAAGTTTTTATGGTTCCCATACCATGTGATATATTATATCCAGCTAGCTTTACTCATTTTACTTATCTGCTTTCGTCTTCAAAGCATTTGAGTTTGCAAACTTTGACCTTTTCACAGTTCGCAAGATGTACTGTGTTCTCTTATTTCCAAATCTAGTCTCTGGAGAAAGTGGGACACATTTCCAGATTTGAGAATATTGAGTGGCACCACATCCCATTTAGAATAGTGATCCAAGTCAGAGATAATTTATTCAACCTCCCAAACAGGCAACTATGTGTCTTCCTTGCCCTCACAAAAATCTGCCTAAGGACGTTTTCTAGAAACCCTCTTCCATTTAAAGTCAGTTGAAGGGGAAAGTTCTGAGAAGTAAGAGTGTAATTGGAGAAGTGGCAAGAATTGAGCAGCAGTAATGGGCAGGCAAACAGTAAGAATATATAGGCTATAGAGAGAATATAGCTATGAGCCAACTGGGAACCACCACAAACGGTGGGTCCTTTGGGAGTTGGGAATTCTCATGACTTAGGAAAAACTTGAGTATTAAAGAGTATCAATTATCAATTTTATCATTTGTTTACTGACACTCAAAAAAATTGAGTATCAGTTTCATCATTTGTTATTCTCATCCTCCACTCCAATGCTGTCAGTGCTGAGCTCACTTAAGGGAACCAATAAATATTTGCTAATTGGGTTCTCATTCTTATAGTAGGTCAACGATTAATATAACAACTTTAATTTTCTGTCAACTGTTTTATAACTCAGACATTGTACATGTGTGTGTATGTGTGTGTGTGTCTTAATTTCGTAAAATCAGTGGAGAAGTAAAGGTGTGATTGAATTATTAATGGTAAAATTCCAGAATGGAACTGGGAATATATTATCACCACAGCCTGCTTTACTCCTTTACTACCTAAGGATTTCACAAAACTTTGGATAATAGAAAGTGTATTTTCACTGGTCACAGTTTCTGTAAAGATGTATACTAAAGTCTCTCCCACTATCACTGTCTATTAGGCCACTTGGAGAACCCTGACCTAAACTGAACCAATCAGATTCTTTTTCTTGAGATGCTGAACATGGACATTGAGCCGACGAGTCAGACAATGCTAAGTACTTGAACTGAAAGCTCAGGGCAAGACCTGACAAAGGACAGCAAACCAAAGCCAAGTCCAAGATAATTTATGGGGGCAAAGAGATGCCCAGAAGTACAGAGAGAATCAGGGCCGTGCCACTCGGAGAGAGATGAAAGGAAGTATTGAGGTTTTAAAACTTTTTTTTTCATTTTCCAGGTGGACCAACTATATTTTATTTCTTCGGATGCTTTTGAAGTGACCAGTTTTGTCCTCTTGATAAACTTGTCCTTTATTAGTGCTGATTTGTGTATATTTGCTACTTACAATCACGCAATGGATAATCCCTGTCTGCTACCTGCAGCACTGCCAGATGCAGGAAACTTCTTTGGCAGAATGGAGAGACCTCATTTTTGTGACCTGAGAACATGCTGTGGTCTCTATGGTGATTTTTACAGCTGATTCTCAGTGCTTTGTACCATCATGATGCTGAAGGTTAAATTAAAATGTTGCTAAAAAAACAGATGAAGTGGAACCTTAGGGTCAAGTTGAGTCTTCCTTGGCATTTCTGATGTAATTCTCTCCACATCATATATTTTCATTAAAAATATCAAAGTTGTGGTGGCTCCTAGGCCTACATTTAAAGGTTACAGGCTGGGCACAGTGGCTCATGCCTGTAATCCTGGCACTTTGGGAGGCCGAGGCAGGCGGATCACCTGAGGTCAGAAGTTTGAGACCAGCCTGGCCAACATGTTGAAACCCTATCTCTACTAAAAATACAAAAATTAGCTGGGCATGGTGGCAGGTGCCTGTAATCCCAGCTACTCGGGAGGCTGAGGCAGGAGAATTGCTTGAACCCGGGAGGTGGAGGTTGCAGTGAGCTGAGATCATGTCATTGCACTCTAGCCTAGGCAGCAAAACCAAAACTTTGTCTCAAAAAAAAAAAAGTTACAATTTTTGCATTTTTAGCTATAAGAAATAGTATCATTTTAATATTTAAAAACTATCTCATTGTATTATCTATTTAATGGTCAGATTTTTTTAAAGCTTCAAATAAGATAACTAGGTCAATGGAAACAATTTACCTCAATATAAATGTGTTTTTCTTTGATTCTTTCATCAATGATTCAGTTACCTTTTTTCTTTTCACCATTTTGTATTTATTATAAATGAATAAGAATTTAAATTAATTATAGAAGATGCATATATAAGTATAAAATATAGTTTTTATTTTTAAAAAATCATCTTTTTTGCCACAATCTTCTACTGGCAAGTAGCTTTATAATCATATCTAATTATATCAACTACATGAACAATTATGTTACAGATCATTAAATTTCATTATATTTTGCTATGAACTTAGAGTACAACAATAAGAACAAATAGACTCCTCAACTTCTCTACCTCTAATAACAAGTTTCCTTTCACATTAGTTTTTATCATCAGTAAATAAATATATAAATTTTTTTTATTATTACTGTTATTATTATTATTATTTTAATTATACTTTAAGTTTTAGGGTACATGTGCACATTGTGCAGGTTAGTTACATATGTATACATGTGCCATGCTGGTGCGCTGCACCCACTAACTCGTCATCTAGCATTAGGTATATCTCCCAATGCTATCCCTCCCCCCTCCCCACTCCCCACCACAGTCCCCAGAGTGTGATATTCCCCTTCCTGTGTCCATGTGATCTCATTGTTCAATTCCCACCTATGAGTGAGAATATGTGGTGTTTGGTTTTTTGTTCTTGCGATAGTTTACTGAGAATGATGGTTTCCAATTTCATCCATGTCCCTACAAAGGACATGAACTCATCATTTTTTATGGCTGCATAGTATTCCATGGTGTATATGTGCCACATTTTCTTAATCCAGTCTATCATTGTTGGACATTTGGGTTGGTTCCAAGTCTTTGCTATTGTGAATAATGCCGCAATAAACATACGTGTGCATGTGTCTTTATAGCAGCATGATTTATAGTCATTTGGGTATATACCCAGTAATGGGATGGCTGGGTCAAATGGTATTTCTAGTTCTAGATCCCTGAGGAATCGCCACACTGACTTCCACAATGGTTGAACTAGTTTACAGTCCCACCAACAGTGTAAAAGTGTTCCTATTTCTCCACATCCTCTCCAGCACCTGTTGTTTCCTGACTTTTTAATGATTGCCATTCTAACTGGTGTGAGATGATATCTCATAGTGGTTTTGATTTGCATTTCTCTGACGGCCAGTGATGATGAGCATTTTTTCATGTGTTTTTTGGCTGCATAAATGTCTTCTTTTGAGAAGTGTCTGTTTATGTCCCTCGCCCACTTTTTGATGGGGTTGTTTGTTTTTTTCTTGTAAATTTGTTTGAGTTCATTGTAGATTCTGGATATTAGCCCTTTGTCAGATGAGTAGGAAATAAAAGAGGATACAAACAAATGGAAGAACATTCCATGCTCATGGGTAGGAAGAATCAATATCGTGAAAATGGCCATACTGCCCAAGGTAATCTACAGATTCAATGCCATCCCCATCAAGCTACCAAAGACTTTCTTCACAGAATTGGAAAAAACTACTTTAAAGTTCATATGGAACCAAAAAAGAGCCCGCATCGCCAAGTCAATCCTAAGCCAAAAGAACAAAGCTGGAGGCATCACACTACCTGACTTCAAACTATACTACAAGGCTACAGTAACCAAAACAGCACGGTACTGGTACCAAAACAGAGATATAGATCAATGGAACAGAACAGAGCCCTCAGAAATAACGCCGCGTACCTACAACTATCTGATCTTTGACAAACCTGAGAAAAACAAGCAATGGGGAAAGGATTCCCTATTTAATAAATGGTGCTGGGAAAACTGGCTAGCCATATGTAGAAAGCTGAAACTGGATCCCTTCCTTACACCTTATACAAAAATCAATTCAAGATGGATTAAAGATTTAAACGTTAGACCTAAAACCATAAAAACCCTAGAAGAAAACCTAGGCATTACCATTCAGGACATAGGCATGGGCAAGGACTTCATGTCCAAAACACCAAAAGCAATGGCAACCAAAGCCAAAATTGACAAATGGGATCTAATTAAACTAAAGAGCTTCTGCACAGCAAAAGAAACTACCATCAGAGTGAACAGGCAACCTACAACATGGGAGAAAATTTTTGCAACCTACTCATATATAAAAGTATACTGAGCTGAGGAATATCTGTTAAAACTGGTATTTGAGGGAAATTATTCAAATTGTAGTGTTCAGGATTGGAGAGATGGAGAGAGAGGAGTCAGAGAGAGAGAGAGAGAAAGGATATGAAGCATAGTAGGAGGTTTCTATAGTAATCCATGTGTGAGCTGATAGAATCCTGAAATAGACTGAAGGTAGAGTGATGCAAAGTAACAGACAAGCTTGACAGACATCGGAAAGATGATGACATTTTTAATAGGAAAGAGACAGGATAACTGAGCATTCAGCTCTGGATACCTATCAGAAAAGTAGGGAAATCAAGAAAGTTATACTATAGACTGAATGTCTGAGTCCCCTCCAAAATTCTTATGTTGAAATCTAACCTCCAGTGTGATGGTATTTAAAGATGAGGCCTTTGCATAGTGATTAGGTAATGAGAGTGGAGCCCTCATGAGTGGGATTAGTGATTTTCTACAAGGGACACCAGAGAGCTCTTTCTCTCCCTTCGTCATGTGAGGTTACAGTGAGAAGATGGCAGTCTGTAAACTAGGAAATAAGCTTTCACCAGACACCAAATCTGTTGGCACCTTGATTGGATTTTCCTACCACACGATTTCATTGTTGGTTTGCCCTCCTCTCCCCTCCCCTCCCCTCCACTCCCCTCCCCTCCCCTTCCTTCCCCTCGCCTCCCCTTCCTTCTTCTTTCTTCAGATGCTCTTGAAATGACCAGGTTTTGTTTTTTTTTTTCTCACTCTGTTGCCCAGGCTGGAGTGCAATGGTGCCATCTTGGCTCATTGCAACCTCCGCCTCCTGGCTCAAGGGATGCTCCCATGTCAGCCTCCCAAGTAGTTGGGAGTACAGGCATGCGCCACCACACCTGGCTAATTTTTTTTTTTTTTTTTTTTTTTTTTTGTAGAGGCAGGTTTTCACCATGTTGCCCAGGCTAGTCTCAAACTCCTGAGCTCAGGTGATCTGCCGGTTTCAGCCTCCCAAAATGCTGGGATTCTAGGTGTGACCCACCATGCCCAGCCTCATTGCTGATTTCTACCAAACATTTAAAGAAGAATTAATACCAGTCCTTCTCAAATTCTTCCAAAAAGTTGAAAAGGAAGAAACTGGAAGAGGAGGGACCAAAATTTTTAGCCAGAGCAATTAGGCAAGAAAAAGAAGTCATCCAAATAGGAAAGGAAAAAGGAAAATTGTCTCTCTTTGCAGATGACACAATCTTATATATAGAAAACTCAAAAGACTCCACTGAAAAACCAAACTAATAAACAAATTCAGTAAAGTTGCAGGATACAAAATCAACATACAAAAATCAGTTGCATTGCTATTCACTAACAATGAACTATCAAAAAAGAAATTAAGAAAAGAATCCCATGTGCAATAGCATTAAAAGTAAAATACTTAGGATTAAATTTAACCAAGGAGGTGAAAAATCTGTAAATTGAAAACTATGAAATATTAAATAAATTGAAGAAGACATCAATAAATAAAAAGATATTCAGCCTCAATAGATTGGAAAAATCAACATTGTAAAAATGTCCATACTACCCAAAGTAATATACAGATTCAGTGCAATCTCTATCAAAATTCCAATGGTACTTTTCACAGAAACAGAAAAAATAATCCCAAAATTCATATGGAACCACAAAAAAACCCTGAGTTGCTAAAGCAATCCTGAGCAAGAACACAACTTCCTGATTTCAGATTATATTAGAAAGCTCTAGCAAACAAAACAGTATTGCACTGGCATTAAAACAGATTCACAGACCACTGGCACAAAAGAAACCCATGCATATACGGTAACTAATCTTTGCACAGGCTTCAAAAATACATTATGGGAAAAAAATAATCTCTTCAGCAAATGGTCTTGAGAAAACTGGGTATCTACATGCAGAAAATTAAATTAGATTCTAATTTTTTTTTTCTTTTTTGAGATGGAGTCTCGCGCTCTCACCCAGGCTGGAGCGCAGTGGCGTGATCTTGGCTCACTGCAACCTCCACCTCACAGGTTCAAGCAATTCTACTGTCTCTGGCTCCCCAGAAGCTGGGATTACAGGCGCCCGCCACCGTATACGGCTAATTTTTTGTATCTGTACTAGAGATCGGGTTTCACCATATTGGTCAGGCTGGTAGAGATGGGGGTTTCACTGTGTTAGCCAGGATGGTCTCGATCTCCTGACCTTGTGATCTGCCCACCTCGGCCTCCCAAAGTTGTGGGATTACAGGCATGAGCCACCGCGCCCGGCCACTATCTTTTTTATATGCTCAATTTTCTATGCATTTATCACTACTTCATCATCCAAATATTCTCCAGGTATGTAAATCTCTTCTTAATATGGTTAAATAAATATCTTAAGTAGTATTCTAATAGTTTCATCATCTTGAAGAAGTTTCTCCTAGAGCCATTTGATCTGCTCCAGTACAACTGGGCTGGTTTCTAGATTCCTGTGGTTTGAGAAGCTCTTTCAACATTATATTGGCAATGCCTTTGTCTTGCTTTTGTGTTGAAACCATGTGCCTTAAATCATATTTCTTCACATTTTAAAGTTTACTCTGTTGTTTCAGTAGAAGGCATTCCAGTATATAAAAGTTTTTGTTCTACCCTCACACTTGACTGATAGTTTGGCTGGGTATATAGTTCAAAGTTGAAAAGCATTTGCCTCAAAACTTTTTTTTTTTTTTTTGAGAGGGAGTCTCACTCTGTTGCCCAGGCTGGAGTGCAGTGGTGCAATCTCGGCTCACTGCAAGCTCCACCTCCCAGGTTCACACCATTCTCCTGCCTCAGCCTCCCGAGTAGCTGGGACTACAGGCACCTGCCACCATGCCTGGCTAATTTTTTGTATTTTTTTTTTAGTAGAGACCGGGTTTCACTGTATTAGCCAGGATGGTCTAGATCTCCTGACCTCGTGATCTGCCCACCTTGGCCTCCCAGAGTGCTGGGATTACAGGCGTGAGCCACCACACCTGGCCTCAAATTTTTAATAAATAATTCCTCCATTGTCTTCTAGCATCCAGGGTAACTTTTGAGGACTCTAAAGTCATTCTAATTCTTTATCTTTTAAATAAAGTCTAACTCTACCCCCATTCCTGGCACCCCCCCCCCACAAAAACTGGAAGCTTGTTGAGTCTTTTGTCTGTATCTAGTGTTCTTAAATTTCATGGCTTGTATCTTGGTGTGTATCCATCTTCATTTTGTAGGCAGTCCTTTCAGTCTAGAAATTCATATTTTGTACTCTCATAAATGCTTCTGAATAATTTCACTGATAATATTTTCCCCTTTGTTTTCTCTTTTCTTGCTTTTTAGGATACTTACTATTTGAATCTTGGGCCTCCTGGACTGATACTCTGATTTACTTATCACCTCCGTCCTATTTTCCATTCCTTGGTTTACTTTCTAGAAAGTTTTTTTCAACCATATTGTCCAAAATATCTATAAAGTTTCTACTATCATCTTTTTTAAGAGTTATTTTTTCTTTTTGTTGCTTATTTATACACCATTCTGTTCTTTTATGGATGCCAACTTTTGTCTTACCTTTGAGGAGATTAATAATATATTTATTAAAGTATTCCTTTCTTTAAAAATTTAAATCTATACAAAAGTAGAATAGTATAATGAGCCCACATGGATCTATCATTCAGCTTCAACAATTATCAACTCACAATTTTGTTTTTTCTATACTCCCAATGCTTTCCCAACTCTCCTCCCACTTTGAATAGTTCTGAAGTAAATCCCAGACCACACATTACATTATTGTTTTTGGTATGGTTGTCTAAAAAATGCATGCTGTATATTTTTATATAACCACAATATCTTTATCTTGCCTTAAAAATTAACAAGAATTCCTTTTAATCTTCATCAAAATAATACTCTATTAAAACATCAAATACTAATAACAATGGCAAAAATCAAAAACCAGCAACTCTTTGCCTTATTCCTGCCCACCTATAAATCTTACTTTCCAGAGGAAACTAGTTTAGAGTCCTTAAGACATTTTAAGATATTTACTTATCTTGCAATTTATGGTTTATGTTTTTACAGGTTACGTGTTGATATACTATTGTAATAGATGTAAATTTAGCACTCATCTGACAACGCTTCCTACTATCTTCCCCAGAGTTACATAAAAATTTCTGGTTATATCAGTGTTTGATATATGCTTTTTTGCTATTTACATTTTTTAAAACTTGTTATTATTGAAAATTTCAAATATATGTAAGAGAATGTAATGTAATAAATCCCATGTATCTATCATCCAGTTTAATATTTACAACTGCATAGCTAGTTTGTTTCATCTTTGTTACATCTTTTTTTTTTTTTTTTTCCTGAAACAGGGGACTCACTCTGGAGTGAGTGCTGGATTGCAGTGGCACAATCACAGCTCACTGCAGCCTCAACCTCTAGCCTACTAAGTAGCTAGGACCACGGGTATGTGTCATTATGCCCAGCTAATTTTTTTTTTTTTTTTTTTTGTAGAGATGAGGTCTTGCTATGTTGCCCAGCTGGTGTTGAACTCCTGGGCTCAAACTATCCTCCAGCTTTGGCCTCCCAAAGTGCTGGGATTACAGGCATGAGCCACGGAGCCAGCCTGTTATACCCACATTTTGTAGCAAATCTGAGAGAGATATCCTTTCATTTGTAAACAATTTAATATGTATCTCCAAAATAACTTTTTTTCAAAACTGTAATGGTTTAACCATGACTAAAAAAAACACACAAAAAAATACATTTGTGATAGTCTCAAATGATCAAGTCAGCATTTGCATTTCTCCACGTTTTATTTTTTCTTTTTCCTCTGCCTCCTCCTCTTCTTCTTTTGTTGTTATACTGGTTTGTTTGAATCAGGATCTAAATACTATCCAAACCTGCAAATTTTGCATTCCATTTAAATGTTTTTTAAGCCTTTAAAACTACATGGGTTCCTTTTTCCTCTGTCCTTCTTGTCCTCTAGTTTATTTGTTGAAGAAACCATTATGTTTATCTTACAGTTTTCCACATTATGAACTTTGCTGATTACATTTTGATGATGCCATTTAACATGTTACTCTATGCTTTATGTTTTCTATAAACTGGCATTTAAGTGTCTAGACAATCTAGGTATTAACCTTTTGTGGCATAAGCTGAAAATAATCTTTTCCAGTTTGTTACTTATATTTTTGCTTTGTTTATGGTCTTTTTGTCATGCAAAATTAAAAAATATTTTTAATGTATGCAAGTGTATTAATTTCTTATTTTATTGCTAGTATTTGGAATAAGATCAGAAAAATTTTTCATATCCACAAGTTATACAGGAGTTTGCTTCTGTTTTTTTTTTGAAACATATATGGTTTTATTATTTTACATTTAAATCTCTTGAGAAGAATGAATCTGATTTTATCTTTTTCCATTTCACTGCTATCCCAAGAGCACGTACTGAAAAATTTATGTTTTCCTTTGCTAATTTAAAGTACTACCTTTATTGTACACTAATCAATATAATAATTGTATCTATTTATAAATTTTTACATTTTGTTTGATCAATTCTGTTCATGCGACAATACCATAATGTTTTAATTTTACAGAATTTGTAATATGATAAGACAGGACCCCTTATATTTATTCTTCCTTAGCATGGTCTTTCTAGCTATTGTGTTTGTTTGTTTTTTTGAGACGGAGTTTCGCTCTTGTTGCCCAGGCTGGAGTGCAATGGCGCGATCTTGGCTCACCACAACCTCCGCCTCACGGGTTCAAGTGATTCTCCTGTCGCAGCCTCCCGAGTAGCTGAGACTACAGGCACACGCTGCCACACCCAGCTAATTTTTGTATTTTTAGTAGAGACAGAGTTTCGCCACGTTGCTCAGGCTGGTCTCGAACTCGTGACCTCAGGTGCTCCACCCGCCTTGGCCTCCCAAAGTGCTGGGATTACAAGTGTGAGCCACCGTGCCCGGCCTGTTTTTGTTTTGTTTTTTTTTTTGAGACGGAGTCTCACTCTGTCGTCCAGGCTGGAGTGCAGTGGCGCCATCTTGGCTCACTGCAAACCTCCGCCTCCCGGGGTCAAGCGATTCTTTTGTCTCAGCCTCTCAAGTAGTTGGGATTACAGGTGCGTGCCCCCACGCCCCGCTAATTTTTGTATTTTTGGTAGAGACGGGGTTTCATCATGTTGGCCAGGCTGGCCTCGAACTCCAGACCTCAAGTGATCCACTGGCCTTGGCCTCCCAAAGTGCTGGGATTACAGGCGTGAGCCACTGCAGGCCCGGCCATTTTTCTGGCTATTTTTGCTTGTTTGTTTTTCCTAATGATCTTTATCATTAACTTGTTAAGGTCTAGAAAAAAAAAAGGTAGCAATTTTATGGTATCATATTAAATTCATAAAGTGACTTAAAAGATTGATATCTTTATAATACAGAATTATCCTTGTCTAAAACTATGAAGAGTACAAAATTTTGCCCTACTTACAAGTTAACTAGTAAGCCTACCACAGTTTATGGATGCTGGTCGAAAACAAGAAATGTCTGGGTCGGAGACAAAGGATTTCATTACAGCAGTTAGTAGCTAGGGTATTAGAATGTTCTTGCACTGGTTTCCTGAATTCCAATGGCCACAAGGTGATGTGAAGAGGGCAAGGTGACACTGGCACATGTAGGGAGTTGCTAAAAAGGAAAAAATATATATATATAAGCTTAGGAAACCCAGTGTTTTTATATTGGACGTTAAGAAAATACACCCTTTGCTCTGGAGGGAGACACCATCTCTATTTTTGAAAACTATTCACTATACAGCCATCTTTGAAAATATGAATTTTTTTCCATTCTTATTTTAGAGACAGAGTCACACTATGTTGCCCAGACTGACCTTGAATTCCTGGGCTAAAGGGATCCTCCTCCCCTCAACCTCCTAAGTAGCTGGGACTTCAAGTGCTTACCACCATGCCTAGCTAAAAAAGTGATTAAAAAAATTTTTTTAGGCTGGGCGCAGTGGCTTATGCCTATAATCCCAGCACTTTGGGAGGCCAAGGCAGGCAGGGGTTTCGGAGGCCAAGCCTGAGCTCAGGGGTTTGAGACCACCCTGGGCAACATGGTGAAATCCTGTGTCTACTAAAATACAAAAAATTAGCCGTGTGTGGTGGCACGTACCTGTAATCCCAGCTACTCAGGAGGCTGAGGCATGAGAATTGCTTGAGCCCCGGAGGTGGAGGTTGCAGTGAGCCAAGATCACACCACTGCACTCCAGCTTGGGCGAAAGAGTGAGACTCCGTCTAAAAAAAAAATTTTTTTTTGAGATAGGGTCTCATTCTGTCACCCAAGCTGGAGTGCAGTGGTGTAATCACAGCTCACTGAAGCCTCAACCTCCCCCACCCTAGATGATTCTCCCACCTCAGCCTCCCAAGTAGCTGGCACTGCAGGCATGTGCCACCACACCCAGCTAATTTTTTTGTAGAGATGGGGTTTCACCATGTGCCCAGGTTGGTCTCAAACTTCAGAGCTCAAGCAATCCACCTACCTTGACCTCCCAAAGTGCTAGGATTACAGGCATGAGCCACAATGCCCAGCCATAAAAAAACTGATTTTTGACTAGGGTATAAAGACAATAATGAGAAAGAACACTTTCAAACAAATGGAGATTGGACAACTGGATATACTCTTGCAAAAGAAGGAAGTCAAACCCCCTACCTCACATCATATACAAAAAAATAACCCAAAATGGATCAAAAAACTAAATGTAATGGCTGAAACCATAAACCTTGCAAAAGAAAACATAGGCATGAATCTTCATGACTTTGGATTAGACAACACTTTCTTAGCTATGTTATGAAAAGCACAAGTAGCCCCCCAAAATCTAGATAAATTTGACTTCATCCAAATTAAAAACTTCTGTGTTTCAAAGGACACTACCAAGAAAGTGAAAAGATAATCTGTACAATGAGAGAAAATATTTTAAATCCATATATTTGTAAAGAGCTAGTATGCAGGATATGCAAGAATCTCTTAAATGCAACCAAAGATAATCCTATTAAAATTAAAATGGGCAAAAGATTTGACTAGTTGTTCCTTCAAAGGGAATATACAAATGGCCAATGAGCATATAAAAATGCTCGACATTTTTAGCCAATAGGAAAAGGCAAATCAAAACTACAATCAAAATCTCATGCTCAATAACATGGTGTCTTTATTTTTGTTGTTGTAACATAGTACCTAAGACTAGGTAATTTATAATGCACAGAAAGTTATTCACTAACAGTTCTGGAGGCTAAGAGTCCAAGGTCAAGGGGCTAGCATTTGACAAGGGTCTTCTTGCTGCATCACCTCATGGTGGAAGGTGGAAGGCCAAGACGGAGTCAGAGAGGGGTGAACCCTCCCTTTTATATAGGCACCAATCCTCCCCGTAAGAGTTAAGCTCTCATTGCCTAATCACTTCCTAAAGATCCCACCTCTTTTTTTTTTTTTTTTTTTTTTGAGACTTCTTATTCTCTTGTTGCCCAAGTTGGAGTGCAATGGCACCATCCGGCCCAATCTCGGCTCACTGCAACCTCCATTTCCCGGGTTCAAGCAATTCTCCTGCCTCAGCCTCCCGAGTAGCTGGGACTACAGGGGCACGCCACAACGCCCAACTAATTTTTGTATTTTTAGTAGAGACGGGGTTTCACCATGTTGCCCAGGCTGGTCTCAAACTCCTGATCTCAGGTGATCTGCCTACCTCGGCTTCTCAAAGTGCTGGGATTACAGGTGCGAGACACCTTGCCTGGACAAGTCCCACCTCTTAATACTGTTACCATGGCAATTAAATTTCAACATGAGTTTTAGAGTGGACAAATATTCACATCATAGCAGATAGTATAATAAAAAAGATGCAAAATAATGAGTGCTGGTGAGGCTATGGAGAAATTGTAACCATCATACATTGCTGGTGGGGAATATAAAATGGGACAGCCACTTTGCAAAAGAGTTCGGCAATTCTTCAAAAAATGAAATGTTAGAGCTACTATGACCCAACAGCTCCACGTCCAGGTATAGAACTAAGAGAATTGAAAATATATGAATACACAAAAATTATTCTTGAATGTTCATAACAGCATTATTCATAATAGTCAAAAAGTAGAAACAACTGAAATGTCCATTAATTGATGAATGGATATTCAAAATGTGGTATATTACACAAGGAAATATTCATCAACAAAAAGAACTACTGATACATGCTACGACATGGATGAATCTTGAAAACATTATGCTAAGTAAAAGAATCTAAACTCACAAGACCATATAATTCCATTTATCTGGAATTCCCAGCATAGGCAAATCCCTAGAGACAAAAAGTAGGCGTGGTTTCCAGGAACTGAGGGTAAAGGAGAATTGGTAGTGATTACTAATAGGTACAGGGTTTCTTTGAGGGCAATAAAAATGTTCTGGAATTAGGTAATGGTGTTGGTTGCACACATCTGTGAATATACTTAAAACCACCAAATTGTACTCTTTAACGGATGAATTTAATGGTGTGAGAATTATGCTTTTATAATTTTAAAAAATTTAACATATGGAACAAAAGTAGTCAGTGCTTGTTTGCAAGATGCACAGAAATGTGAGAGACCCCATGGAGAATTGTTTCTCAATATTCCTATCCAAATATTAATACATAGTATTTGTTGTTTTTCTTAACATAGTTTTCTGTAAATAATGTTGAACATTTTTTATTTGTGCCTAGGTATTTGAAAAATTATTATAAGTATATGCTTTATTATATATTATAAATAATATTTTTGGGCCAGGCACGATGGATCACACCTGTAATCCCAGCATTTTGGGAGACCAAGGCAGGCAGATCACGAGGTCAAGAGATCGAGACCATCCTGGCCATCATGGTGAAACCCTGTCTCTACTAAAAATACAACAATTAGCCAGGCCTGGTGACACACGCCTGTAGTCCCAGCTACTCAGGAGGCTGAGGCAGGAGAATCACTTAAACCTGGGAGGCGGAGGTTACAGTGAGCCGAGATCGCACCACTGCACTCCAGCCTGGCGACAGAGCGAGACTCCGTCTCAAAAACAAAAAATACATACATAAATAAATAAAATTTCTGAACTCATTGTATGTATAAATGAACTCTCGATTTTTAACGTTAATTCGATATCTCGTTACTTTATTCTCATAATGCCTTTAGTGTTGGTTTTCCACTTATTTACATTTTTTTTCCATAGGATGTTTGCTTTTGGCATAGACACTTAAACTTATCAGTAGAAGACTTTAGAGTTTCTGTGGTAGGAGTGGGCAAGAAAGGGAGTCTCAACTGTGAGCTGCCTTATAGGGTAATCTCACTGGGCCCTTTCCTTGGGGACTCCAGATTCAATATCATGAAGTTCTTGAGTCAAATTTCTGCAAAATGACTCTTTCAACCTTCTGCTGGGAGGGTGTGATCCTACCTACATGCATTCTTTCAACTATGTCAGAAGAGTCTGGGAATGGTGGGTCTTTGCTTTTGTATACAGACTTTTTTTTGTTTTTTTTAGATAGAATTTTGCTCTGTCGCCTAGGCTGGAATACAGTGGCATGATCTCAGCTCACTGCAATCTCCACCTCCCAGGTTCAAGGGATTCTCATGCCTCAGCCACCCAAGTAGCTGGGATTACAGGCGCCTGCCACCACACCTGGCTAATTTTTGTATTTTTGGTAGAGACAGGGTTTCACCACGTTGGCCAAGCTGGTCTCGAACTCCTGACCTCTGGTGATCCACCCACCTCAGCCTCCCAAAGTCCTGGGACTACAGGTGTGAACCACCATGCCCGGCTTTTTGTTGTATATTAACCTTTGCCAAATTTCTCTTTTTTCAATATAGGGCCCGAGTCTTAATATTAAGTTTAGTCTCCTCAAAATAAGAATCCACTGTTTTACCCTTCTAACTAAAAATTATCTAGCCTGGAGCAGATCTCAGTTTTGTGGGCCCTGAAGCGTATGGGATTTGAGGGCTTTGAGAGAATGAATACAAAAATAACTTACTTTTGCAAATTAAAAAAAAAAAAAAAAAAAAAAAGACTTACCAGGCATAGTGGCTCCTGACTATAATCCCAGCAATTTGGGAGGCCAAGGCAGGCAGACTGCTTGAGCTCAGGATTTCGAGACCAGCCTGGGCAACATAGTGAAACCCCATCTCTACTAAAAATACAAAAACTAGCTGGGTGTGGTGGTGCATGCCTGTAGTCCCAGCTACTTGGGAGGCTGCAGCGGGAGTATCACCTGAGTCCTGGAGGTTGAGGCTGAAGTGAGCTGTGATCAATCCATGCACTACAGCCTGGGTGACAGAGTGAGACCCTGTTTTAAAAAAAAAAAAAAAAAGACCATTTTAGTACATATCTCAGGCTCCCCCTGGGTTCTTGGAAGGGGCTCATCCAAGTGCAGTGGCCCAAAACTATAGCACACTTTACCTCATGGCAAATCTATATTCAGGGAGTTCAATAGTCCTGAACTTCAATAGTCCCTGAAGTTGGGGAAAATTGCTTAATGGTGTAAAGGAGAAACTTGGTGGTCTAAATCACAAACAAAATTTGAATCAAGAAGACCTTTAACCTCCCTCTCAGAGTCACCTAGTAATATCAATTTCTAAGCTTTTTATGGGGTTTTGTGCTACAATAAGATCAATTCTTGGCTTTCCTCATCCCTGGCCTAGTTTTCAGCTTTCTTGGGTTTGTCAAGTCAGTTTTCATTCACCATCTGCTTTTTGGTGTCCAGAAATGTTGTTGCTGTTGTCTCCTTTGCCATTCTTGTTGTTCCTGGGAGTCTATGCCATTTAAAAAATCTCTTTCCTGTCATTTTATTAAGAGTTTTAGAAAAGAGCAGAGGGCAGTGTGTATATTCAAACTGCCCTTCTTAAGGCAAAGTCTGATGGTGCCAAATTGTACTTCAAAATTGCCCCCCAAATGGTGCAGCACTTTATACTTCTGGCAGCACAGCATGAAACAGCCACTTACTCTTACCAGTACTCCATATTCTTAAAATTTACCAATCTGGTTAAACTATCTCATTATTTTAATTTGCATTTCCCTGGTTACTAGTGAGGTTCAGTGTTATTTTATACGTTTATTGACCCTTTGTTTTTCCTCTTCTGTGAGTAACCTATTCATACAATTTACCCCCCACCCTTTTTTTTCTTTTTGAGATGGAATCTCACTCTTTTGCTCAGGCTGGAAGTACAGTGGCGTGATCTCAGTCCACTGCAACCTCTGCCTCCCCGGTTCAAGCGATTCTCCTGCCTCAGCCTCCCAAGAAGCTGGGACTACTGGCATGCACCACCAGGCCTGGCTAACTTCTGTATTTTTAGTAGAAACGGGGTTTCACCATGTTGGTCAGGCTGCTCTTGAACTCCTGACCTCATGATCCGCCTGCCTTGGCCTCCCAAAGTGCTGGGATTACAGGCATGAGCCACTGTGCCTGGCCCAATTTACCCATTTTTTATAGTATGTAGTGAAGGGGATCAGAACATGCTACCCCAAAATATGCCATTTTGGTATACTGAATTTTTGAACTGAAGGTAACTGAGAAAATGCAGATGCCCCCTTACTACACGAAAGCAGGGCATAACATTTCCCATGAGAGAGGTACCCTTCTCCACCATACCATAAAGAGAACATTCTTCTCACTGGAGATGAAGAGTTATGCCAAAATAAATCTGCATAAACAAACCTCCTAAAGTACTCCTTATCTTCCATTGGTTTCTCCCATATATTTTCTGTTCACTTTCCCACAATTTACCACCCTTAGCCAAAACTCCACTTTCCTTTGTCTTGTCACACCTCCACAATTTGTCATTTTTTGTTAAAACGGTATATAAGTGCTCAGGCCTATCTTCTTCTATGGGTCTTCATGAAGGCCTGTGTGTATACATAAAAATATTAACATTAAATAAAATTTGTATGCATATGCTTTTCTCCTGTTAATCTGTCTTTTGTCAGTTTAATTCACAGCCCCAACTATAGAACTTAAGAGGGTAGAAGAAACGTCTTTCATCCCTTACAGTAGTTATCTTTTTCTTACTGATTTGTAGGCATTCTTTATATTTGCTAAATTGTTTTATGTTATACAAATTGTGATTTTTTAACTTTATTTCATCTAAATTCTAAGACATTTAAAATTTTGATGTAATTTTGCTTTTTGTGTCTATATAAGGCAGATCTTCCCCATTCCAAGGTGTTAAATATGATTTCTTTTAATACATGTGTGGTTCTGATTTTCACATTTAGGTCTTTAACCCATTTGGAATTTACTTTTATAATGGCAGGGGCCATTTTTCCCACATCAACAATTGTAACATTTATTGAATAGTCTATCTTTTACCCATTGATCTGAATTGTCATACTTCTTAATTACAAAAGGCTTATATGAGTATTTTTCTGTTTCTGGGTTCTCTATTCTTTCTCACAAATTTAGTATCTTATTGACCATGAGCTTCTCAAAACTGCACTTTATACAGGAAATATCCTTGCAAGAAATTAAATAGAAACTTGCTAATGTTATAAAAATATCAATTATAGATTGAAATAAAATGACTAATATTTATTACACAAGTGCTTAGTTACACTTATCTGAAAATTATAATAGGACAATTGGTGCATGTCACATTCATATTACTATCCATATAAGAACAAATACATTTAGTCAACTATATCAGGATAACACACAAGGTTTTTGTTTGTTTTAGGCTTCTCAGTTGAAAGAAAACATCGAGTAAGGAAAATGAATTTCCAGTGATTAAGTATTAACAATATAAATAATAAAAATTACTTCTAAATGTCTTACATTTTGACAACTTTGAATTATACTTACATACTAATATTTCCAAAAATCATTTAAGTTACAAGGGTCACTGTCAGGGTGAAAATATATTTTGAAAAGCTTTTTAAAGATATGTTATTATTATGCTTTAACATCATTTCATTTATTCTTGGCACACACGGCATCTTGGAAAGTAAAAATACATCTTGCCAATTTTCTGCTATTGTGCAGTTACAAGAGAAAGAGAAGTGTGGGGCAGACAGACCTGTGTTCAGTTACTAGCTTTGTCCAAAATTGTGTTGAGGCTGGTCAATTACCTTTTGGTGCTGGGAGTAAGATTAAATTAAATAATGCATATTTTAAATGTACAGCATGGGCACTCAATAAATGATATACTTTACCTTATTTATTCACATTGAAGTAATAGCAAAATATCACAGTTCTATGTTGTGGTACAATTTGAAAAACTGAAAAAATTGGGAAATTAAAAAATAATAATGTGTTTTGAAAAATTGCACTTTTTATAAATAAATCCTTCAGCAGGTTTAAATATTTCCTAATAAAACTTAGTGCCTACTATACCCTGATTTTTTAAAAAAAGGCCTAAAATATGATAAAAATGGTCAGTGGTTAAGGACTTTTGGTTTTCCTTTGTGCTATTGATATAAAAATAATGGCTTTATTTAAGGCTTAGTAAGTGATTATTTGTAGTTGCCCTGAACCAAATCATTATTCTCAATGTTGCACTCAGTTGAAAGAGACCTACTACCTTGAATGACCATCATAGAGAAATGCCCATGATATTCTGTTAATATAATTGAACCAATCATACCCTCCTTTTTGATTGAAGTAAAGGTTCATTTGGTGGCATGTGGCAGTTCAGCTTGTCTCCCATTAACAATGACTCATATACACAATCACAAATCAATTTTTCTCATGCTAAATATGTGATGTTTGGAATATACTGGATTCCTGAAAATTAAATTTATATTTTCACAAGGAATAGACTATTCTAGACTAGCAATGCTTATATCCCTATTCTTGGATTGTTTTGTTTCCAACTCTGACTATCTAACAAGTTCATCCTTCCAAATTTGACTCAAAAACCCCTCCTCCAGTAAACTTTGCCTAACCAAAGTTCACACCCCTCCATTTATGTCCCTTACACGCATGTATAATGTACATTAACTTGCATACACTATTATTTATATTTTGTGTGCTTTCGACTTTTAGTTATAATGTTGTCTTTGACTTTTTTTAGCCTCCACAGTGTTTAGCGCTGTGCTACACATGTATATATGTGGCTGTGTGTGTTTGCATGTGGGATTGTGTTTGTGTATGTATATGTTTATGTGTGTGTGAGTTGAATGAATAAAAAACTAAAGAACCTGGGCATCTGTAGGGTAGAAAAGTTTTGTAATTTTTCAGAAACCAAAATTGCTGGATCTTCCTAACATTAAAAAATCTGATTTCCAAAGCGATTTCAGTTTGGTTTTAGATATGTCAATAATAAAAAGGCAGTGGGAAAAAACTGTTTAAAACCCTTTATGAAATATTCTAAAAGGCCTTTTAGCAAATTATTATTAACAGCACCAAACTAAAACTTTTTACTAAATAGTGGTATAACCTTTTATATGACTTTACGAACATAGACTTCTCTATTCAAGACAAAGAATACTGAACAGGAATAGGTGTTGTGAATCAGGATACAAAAGGCAATTCACTCTAAGTCAATAGCTAATGCACATTTTGCAATTAATTTAAAAATCCCTCTGTAGTACATATGCATGTTAAGTAAAAGAATAGCTGCAGATCTTCATAGTTGTTTTAACGCTGTAAAACATAACACAATACTGAAGTCGCTATTTAACAGGAAAAATTTTGTTCATAATAGCTGTTAATATTAAAATAGGATATAATAATAAAAAATTATTCTCAATGTGTATATTTTCAAATTTGCCTGACAGTGTCCTTTTAAGAAATCTGACAATTTGTAGTTAGATAACAGACATTTGCATTTCACTTTCATAATTGAAAATATTACCTACACAATAACAAACAACAATATATAGTAGCTTTTTACTGAAGCACTCTGAAATTTATATTTAAAGCTTTGCAATAAAGCAAAATTCACTGTACTTTTCATAAGTTATATTACATAACATGTATGCTATAATTATACAAAGAATAAATACATGAAATGAAGCATAAAAAATTCAGGACCATAACAATGGAATGTTTTAGTTGTCATTCTCAATGTTACTTTATATGTCTGCATTAAGTTCTAATGTATTTTAAACCCAAGAACCTTTATCTTTAAATAATACACTAAAAATATCAAGTTTAAAGTATAAACATAATACTCTACATGCCTTTTTTTCCCTAGGTCATCAAGGGAATAAAACAAGAAAAACAGAGGCAAGGGCAGTTCTCTTGCCACAAAATCTCTCTTTGCTTCCCCATAAACCTTTATGTCATTTCTAGAGCATATATTACAAGATGACAGCTTTGGCAAAGTATAAGCTTATTTAAGTGGCTTCTTTCTTGGAAGAAAGAAAACAATTTAAACTAACAATTTTCTTTTTGGCTTATTCATTCTCAATCTTTCTCTGATATATAATAGTGGTATAAAAGCACTTCATGAAATGCTCACTATTAATCAGTTAAATAGCACAGAATGAATTAATGTATATAATTAATCAAAATATATTATCAGTATAGATACTAGGGCGAGGTCCTAGAATTTGTTACACGTAGAGCTAAACTTGCAAGAGATCGCATGGCAAAAGTAGAAACTTTGTGACATATCCCAGCTTTTGAAATATAGTTAGAAGCCAATCGAAAAAGCCTTTCAGCACCAAAGGTATTGAAGTGCCCAGGAAGCACCTTCTCTACCAGACCTCTGTCCACTAATTCTATTAGACGTTCACAAGTTCCAACATAGTCACTTATCCTGCTGTATGGGAGCCAGTCAATCAGTGATCCATCATACACGACGTCTCCACTGAAGAGAATCTTTCGGTCTTTGTCATGTAAGCAAATACTGCCCCTGGAGTGACCTGGCATGTGCATAACAGTGAGCTGTCTGTCACCAAGGTTGATCACATCCCCTACAAATGGAAACAGAGTTTACAGATAAACATGTTGTATACTTGACTTAGCATGTAAAGCATACTAGAGCATTATATGCTTCCAAAGAAATTGGGAAGGATGACACTTTATTTCATAAATACTGTATTTCTTAATGATGATTTAAAAATAAGCTGCCTATAGTTCATTCCTATTGTTTGCTAGACCAGTGTTTGCCAAAGCAAGTAATGTGGAACACTACTTCTACAGGCTATCATGATACATAAATGAAAAGGAGGTAGTTCTGTGGTCAAATAATTTGAGGAACTCTCACTTTAAAGAAAATTAAGCAGCTTTCTTTTCAGAAAGACTTCTTTGAGCTTTTATTATATGAATGTATACTGTGGATATATACAAAGTAGATATAGTTGTACAATTTCTCAAACTTATTTGATCATGAAACTTTTACTTTTCAGCACATCTATGGTACCAGTATCCTGTTGACACAATTAATGAATGTTGCTCTAGGGAATTTTATTGTATTTTGCCTCTTGTATCACCCTGTCAGAATTAGGGCTTGAGGAATTGATATAAATCATGATGCTCTAATATGTGAGTAATAATCTCCTTAATCTCTGACCCAGGAACCTCAAGTCTTCTGTCAGAATACATTAAACTCTGGCAGGCTAACTTGCAAATAGGGTAAAATCTCAGACTTCAGTTACCGACAGCAGAGAGGAAATGGAGCAACATGGGTGGAAAATTGCTCTGTTTCACTGGAATTAAATTAGTATGAACTTGAAGTAAATCATGGTAAATTAAAAGATTCATAATGTAATCTCTAGTGCAAGCACATACACAGGAAAAAATTTAAAAATATATAGCTAAAAAATAATAAAGGAATCAAAATGGTGTAATAATCAGGATTTGGTAAACATAAAAAGGCAGAGATTGTCAGACTGGATTAAAAATCAAGATATATGCAGCCTACAAGAAAGAAACTATAAGACCAAAGACACAAATAGGTTGAAAAGCTTAACCATATTAAATATTACTGTTAAGAGAACTAGGGCAGCTAATATTAATATAAGACAAAATTGATTTTTACATGAAGAATATTACTAAAAAGAAGTAATTTTATGAGAATGTACATTAAATCAATACATTGATAAATAACAATTATAAATGTACATGCACATAAAACATCACCAAAAATACATGAAGCAAAAACAAACAAACAATAAACAATTCAACAATGATACTTGGAGAGTTCAATATTCTTCTCTGTGTAATTCATAAAATAAGTAAATAGAAAATCAATAAGGATATGGAAGACCTGAACAACTCTTATCAACCAACTTGACCTGACAAAAATAAAACACTTTACTCCAAAACAGCAAAGTACACATTCTTTTCAACTGTAGTTGAAATATTCAACAGGCTATAAAGCTAGGCCATAAAGCAAGAATCAATAAATGTAAAAGGAATAAAATCATACAAAGTATGTTCTCTGCCTACAACATAATTAAATTAGAAATAACAAAATGAACAGAAAATTGATAACATGTAGTCTTTTTGTTTGTTTTTTCTGAGACAGAGTTTTGCTCTCTCGCCCCGGCTGGAGTGCAGTGGCGCAATCTTGGCTCACTGCAACCTCTGCCTTCCAGGTTCAAACAATTCTTGTGCCTCAGCCAGCTGAGTAGCTGGAATTACAGGCGTGTGCCATCACGCCTGGCTAATTTTTATATTTTTAGTAGAGACAGGGTTTCGCCATGTTGGCCAGGCTGGTTGCCATGTTGCCAAGGCTGGCCTCAAGCGATCCTCCCTCCCTGGCCTCCCAAAGTGCTGGGATTGCAGGCATGAGCTACTGCGCCCAACCTTATTATGTGTTTTTAATAGACAAAAAATAACAAATTAGGAAGAACAAAAATAAATATGGGCAATATTCAAATATATGTAAAGCAAACAGCAAACTTCTACATTGTTTATGGATCAAAGAAGAAATCAAAGGGAAATATAAAAATATTTTGAATGAATGAAAACAAAATCAAAACATATCAAAATGTATAGAATACAGCTGAAGCAGTACTTAGAAGAAAACGTATTGCTTTAAATGCTTATTTTATAAAGGATTAAATGTTTAAAATCAACAATCAAATTACTATCCTAAGAAGTTAGGAAAAGAAGAACAAATCAAACACAAAGTAAGTGTTAATAGAAATAATAAAGGGCAGAGCAAAAATAAATGAATACAAATACCAACAGAAAAAAACAGATGAAACCAACAGTTGTTTATTTGAAAACTACAACAAAATTGATACACCTTTAGCTAGACAAATCAAGAAAAAATTAGAGAAGATACAACTTGCTAAAATAGGAATTAAAGAAGGAACATCACTACAGACCCTGAAGAAATTAAAAGGAGAATAAGGGAATATTATGAACAATTTTAAGCCAACAAATTTGACAACTTATTTGAAATGAACATATTCTTAAAAAGAGACAAATTATCAAAAGTGATCCAAGAAGAAATGAAGTCTAAATAAATGTATATCAAGCAAATAAATTGATTAACAATTTAAAGTCTCCCCACAAAGAAAAGTCTGGGCTCAAAGGCTTCATTGATCAATTCTGTCAATCATTTTATAACGGGACAATTTCAACCCTATAATAATTTCAACCCATATAAAGACTTTCAGAATACAGATGAGAAATCTAACTCAGTTATTACCCTCATAAAAGCCAGACAAAGACAATATATTAAAATAACAACAACATCAGGCCTGGTGCGGTAGCTCACTCCTGTAATCCCAGCACTTTGGCAACATGTGGGAGGACTGCTTGAGGCCAGGAGTTTGAGACCAGCCTCGGCAAAATAGTGAGACCTCCATTTCTATAAAAATTAAAAATAAATAATAATTTAAAAAGCCAAGTAGGGTGTTTTGTGCCTGTAGTCCCAGTTACTCAGGAAGCTGAGGTAGAAGGATTGCTTGAGCCCAGAAATTTGAGGCTGCAGAGATCTATGATGGCGCCATTGCACTCCGGCCTGAACAACAAAGGGAGACTCTTTCAAACAAAACAAAAAAAAGCCTATACACAAATATACCTAATGAATGCAATCTTAAAATTATTGACAAAATATTGGCAAATCAAATCCAGCAACTTATAAATAGGAAAATGACCAAGTGAAGTTTATTCCAGAAATATTAAGTTTGGTTTAACTAGTGAAAATAAATTAATGTAATATACTGTATTAATAAAGGAGAAAGCCATATGATTATCTCAATAGATACATAAAAAGCATATGACAAAATCCAATTCTCATTCATGATAAAAACTTCCAGCAAACTAGGAATAGTTGGGGAAGGTCCTGAACTTGATAAAAGTCACTTATGAACATCTATAGGTAATACCTCTTTGAATAGAAAGTCTCCTAAGATAACAAGGCAAGGATGTCTGCTCTTACCATTTCTATTCAACATTATACTGAAGATCCTAGACAGTGTAATAAGCCAAGAAAAAGAGAGTAAGGTCTCACAGATTAGAAAAGAAAATCTGTCTTTATTTAGACATAATCTTACATACAGAAAATCCTAAGTAGGAAAAAGCTAGAGAACTAAAAAGTTTACCAATGTTACAGGATACCAGATCAACATACAAAGATAAACTATATTTCTATATGCTTCAAGTAACTATCAAAAATGAATTTTAAGACATTTGACTCAAAATAGCATCAAAAAGAATAAAATACTTGGGAAAAAATTTGACAAAAGATGTTTTGTAATATATGAACACTGTATAATGAAAACTACAAAAACACTGTCAAGAGAAATTAAAGAAGACCTCAATAAAAGGAGAGATAGGCTATGCTTACTGACTGTCTCAATATCACTAAGGCTCAATATTGCTATGATGGTAATGTAACCCAATTTTTCCAATAGCTACACTGCCTAATAAAACTTTCTGCAATGATTGAAATGTTGGTTCTCAATACTGTTCAATATGGTGTGGCTAATGGTGCTTGAAATAAAGCTAGTACAATTAAGGAATTAAAATTTTAATTCTAACCAATCTTAATTATTTTTTTAAAGAGATGGAATCTCTGTCACTCAGGCTAAAGTGCAGTGGCCCGCTTATAGCTCACTGTAACCCCTGAACTCCTGGGCTCAAGGGATCCTTCCAAGTAGCTGGGACTACAGGTATATGACACCAGCCCAGCTAACTTAAAAACTTTTTCTAGAGACAGGATCTCGCTTTGTTGCCTAGGCTAGTCTTATACTCCTGGCCTTAAATGATCCTCCAGCCTCAGCCTCCTAAGTAGCTGGGATTACAGGTGAGTCACCATATCCGGTAATCTTAATTTAAATTTGATAGCCATACATGGCTAGTGGCTACTGTAATGGCCAGTAAAAATTCAACATAATCTCAATCAAAATCTTGATCTTTTTTCGAAGAAACTGAAAATCTGACTCTAAATTTCACGTGGAAATGCAAATGACCTAGAATAGCCAATACAATTATGAAAAAGAGGAACACAGTAAGAAGACGTATACTAATTTCAAGAGTTACAATAAAACATCACTTCTCAGTCTTTTGGCTAAGATCAAGTGTACAATAAAGCTACAGTAATCAAAATATTGTGTTACTGACTAAATAGACATAATCGATATAACAGAGAGTCTGAAAGTAGACACAATATTGTCAATAGATATTTGACAAAAGTCAAACAAGATAATTCAACGGATAAAATGACAGTCTTTTTGACAGACTGGACTGGGATACTTTGTATATCCATTTGCAGACAAACAAATAAGAATCGAGAACCTCTCAACCCTTACTTCACAAATATTCACAGAAATTAACTGAAAATAAGTCATAAACCTAAATATGGGAGCTTCTAGAGAAAAATTAGGGGAACATTTTTGTGACCTTGGGCTAGACATAGAGCTCTTAAATATGACACAACAATCATAAAACACGAGACAAAAATTGCTAACTGGACTTCAAGTTATAAACTTTCTTGCTTAAAAAGACACCATTAAGAATGAAAAGGCAGGGCACACATTGGGAGAAGGTATTTGCAAAATGTACATCTGATAAAATCTTGTATTCAGAATATATAGAGCTTGCATAACTCAATAATAAAAAAGCTGAATTTTTAAAAAAGATTTTAATATACCATTTAATAAAGTGGATATCTGATTAGCAAATAAGTACCAAAAAGATGCTCAACATCATTAGTTTTTAGTGAATGCAAATTAAATCACAATCAAGTACCACTACACACTCACTAGAATGGCTAAATTGAAAAGGATTGACAAAACCAAGTGTTGAAAAAGATGTGAGCTGGGCGCACTGGCTCATGCCTGTAATACCAGCAATTTGGAAGGCTGAAGCTGGTGGATCACTTGAGGTCAGGAGTTCGAGATCACCCTGGCCAACATGGTGAGACCCCATCTCTACCAAAAACACAAAATTCACCAGAGGTGGTGGTGCATGCCTGTAATTCCAGCTACTCAGGAGGCTGAGGCAGGAGAATCGCTTGAACTTGGGAGGCAGAGGCTGCAGTGAGATTGCACCATTGCACTTCAGCCTGGGCAAGAGAGAGACTCCATCTCAAAAAAGTAAAAAATAAAAAAATGTAGTTGTTGGGTAGAATGTTCTGTAAATATCTATTAAGTCCATTTGTTCTAGGGTATAGTTTAAGTCCATTGTTTCTTTGTTGACTTTCCATCTTGATGACCTGTCTAGTACTGTCGACAAGTGGAGTATTAAAGTCCCCCAGTATTATTGTGTTACCATCTATCTCATTTCTTATGTCTAGTAGAAATTGTTTTATACATTTGGGAGCTCCAGTGTTAGGTGCATATATATTTAGAATTGTGATATTTTCCTGTTGGACTAGTCCTTTTATCACTATATGTTCCTCTTTTTGTCTTCTTTAACTGCTGTTGCTTTACATTTTGTTTTGTGTGATATAAGCCTGCTTACCTTTGGTGTCCATATGCATGGAAAATCTTTCTCTACCCTTTTACCTTAAGTTCATGTGAGTCTTTATGTGTTAGGTGAGTTTCCTGAAGACAGCAGAAACTTGGTTGGTGAATTCTTATCCATTCTGTCATTCTATATCTTTTAAGTGGAGCATTTAGGCCATTTACATTCAATGTTAGTATTGAGATGCGACATACTATTCTATTCATCACGCTATTTGTTGCCTGAATACCTTCTTTTTTTGGGGGGGGCGGTTTGTTTGTTTTTTACATTGTTATTGTTAGATGTTATATAGGTACTGTGAGGTTTATGCTTTAAGGAAGATTCTATTTTGTTGTATTTCAAAGTTTTCTTTCATGATTTAGAGCTCCTTTTATCAGTTCTTGTAGTGATGGCTTGGTAGCAGTGAATTCCCTCAGCATTTGTTTGTCTAGAAAAGACTGTATCTTTCTTTCATTTATGAAGTGTAGTTTCACTGGATACAAAATTATTGGCTGATAATTGTTTTGTTTAAGAAGGCTAAAAATAGGACCCCAATCCCTTCTAGCTTGTAGAGTTTCTGCTGTTAGATAGGTTTTCCTTTACAGGTTACATGATGCTTTTTTCTCACAGCTCTTAAGATTCTTTCCTTTCATCTTGACTTTAGATAACATAATGACTATGTGCCTAGGTGATGATCTTTTTGTGACTAATTTCTCAGGTGTTCTTTGAGCTTCTTGTATTTGGATGTCTAGATCTCTAGCAAGGCTGGGTAAGTTTTCCTCGATTATTCCTTCAAATAAGTTTTCCAAACTTTTAGATTTATCTTCTTCCTTGGGAACACCAATTGTTCTTAGACTTGGACATTTAACGTAGCCCCGGACTTCTTGGAGGCCTTGTTCATTTTTTTTTAATTCCTTTTTCTTCGTCTTTGACGGATTGGGTTAATTCAAAAGCCATGTCTTTGAGCTCTGAGGTTCTTTCTTCTGCTTGTTTGATTCTATTGCTGAGACTTTCCAGTGCATTTTGAATTTCTCTAAATATGTCCTTGATTTCCAGATGTTGTAACTGTTTTTTATTTATGCTATCTATTTCACTGAAGAATTTACCTTTCATATCTTGTATCATGTTTTTGATTTCTTACATTCTATTCATCAGCACATGGAACATTCTCCAAGATAGACCATATGATAGGCCACAAAACAAGACTCAGTAAATTTAAGAAAATTGAAATTGTATCAAGTGTTCTCTCAGACCACAGTGGAATAAAATTGGAAATCAACTCCAAAAGAAACCCTCAAAACCATGCAAATATATAGAAATTAAATAACCTGCTCTTGAATGATCATTGGGTCAACAATGAAATCAAAATGGAAATTTAAAAATTCTTTGAACTGAACACTAATAGTGACACACAACCTATCAAAACCTCTGGGATACGGCAAAAGCAGTGCTAAGAGGAAAGTTCATAGCATTAAATGCCTACATCAAAAAGTCTGAAAGAGCATAAATAGGCAATCTAAGGTCACACCTCATGGAACTAGAAAATATAAGAACAATCCAAACCCAAACCCAGGAGAAAAAAAGAAATAACCAAGATCAGCCTCCCGAGTAGCTGGGATTACAGGCATGCAACACCACACCCAGCTAATTTTTGTATTTTTAGTAGAGACGGGGTTTCACTATGTTGGCCAGGCTGGTCTTGAACTCTTGACCTCAGGTGATCCGCCCTCCTCGGCCTTTCAAATTATTGGGATTACAGACATGAGCCACTGTGCCCAGCCACCCTACTATTTCTTTTCTTTCACCTTCTCTGTCCTATCTCTGCATCCATTATTCTAAGGCTGGATTTTCCAAACTGGTCCTCCTACTTATTTTAGTCTTTTTCTCTCCTAGTTCCCATTTTCCTGTACTGATCTTTAGTAAGTTTTTCAACTTTATCTTCCAGACCTGCTGCTACATAATTTCTGATGTTTTAAATTCTAAGAGTTTTTTTTTTTTGGTGAATATTGTTCTATTTATTTTTAAAGCATCCTTACTGACTCTTGGATATCTTGAATGCAATAGCTTGTCTTATCCCCCTGATGATATTGATGATAGTTCCCCACTCTCAAATTGCTTTATGCTGTTTGTTTTAATAGCTGATCTCATGTTAGAGAATTTTCTGTTTTTTTATAATGCTTGGTTGCCTATTTAAGAGTTGGGGGGCATGAGTAAAAATGGCTATTGTCAAAAAGACAGAAAATAACAGATGCTGACAAGGATGTGGAGAAAGGGGAATGCTTGTACCCTGTTAGTGGGGATGTAAATTAGTACAGCAACTACGGAAAATGGTATGGAGGTTCCTCAACAAACTGAAAATAGAACTACCATACGACCTAGCAATCCCACTGCTGGGTATGTACATCCAAAAGAAAGGAAATCAGAATACTAAAGAGATAACTGCATTCCCATGTTTATTGCAGCAATATTCACAATAGCCAAGATGTGGAATTAACCTAAGTGTCCATCAACAGATGAATGGATAAAGACAATGTGGGAAAATATACACAGTGGAATTATTCACTCATAAAAAATAATGAAATCCTGTCATTTGCAGCAACATGGATGGAACTGGAGGGCATTATGTTAAGTGAAATAAGCCAGGCACAAAATGACAAATATCCCACGTTTATACTCATATGTGGGAGGTAGTGCTAGTATGGTGGTTACCAGAGGCTGGAAAGGGTAGGGGGGAAGGGAATGAAGAGATTGGTTAATAGGTACAAAAATACAGTTAGATAAAAGAAGTAAGTTCCAGTGTTTGATAGACTAGAGTTAACAAGGATTTATTGCATGTTTCAAAATAGCTAGAAGATTTGGAATGTTTCTGACACAAAGAAATGATAAATGTTTGAGGTGATGGATATTCTAAATAACCTGATCTGATCATTACATTGTATGCGTTTATCAAAATATCACACGTACCCCATAAGTAATTACAACTATTAGGTATCAATTAAAAAAAAGAAGGGGGGACAAGAAGGCTGCTTGCAGCACATGCATGGGGCCTGGTGACCAAGGCTTCACAGTAGAGAAAGAGGCCAGGATTTCTTAGGTATTCCTCTACATTGGTATCTTAGTCTTTCTTCTAGGAGGCAGATTCCCTAGATAACATTTTTCTAATTTCCTACCTGGGTGGGGAAAGGCCTGGCTCTCATCCTTCTAGGAAACTAGTAGAACACACACACACTCTTTCTCCTGTCTCTCATCCTTCTAGAAAACTAGCGCGCGCGCACACACACACACACACACACACACACACGCTTTCTTTCTCCTGTTTTCCATACTGAGCCCTTAAGCTCAACAGTAATTTGGCATCCTTCAATCAAGAAACTCCTTTGTTTTACTATCCCCAGAGAATAAACTAATTGGATGGGAGAGGGAGGGGCATTCACTAGAGTTTTAAGAGCTTCTTAAAAGGTTTTCAAGAAATTCTGCTTACTCTTCCCTTTGCCGCCACTGAGGTACTACTGCCTATTGCAAATTCCTGAGTTTTTTAAGGCTTCAGCGGTGCAAACTGAATTGGCTCTTAATTTCCCTTTGCTGGCATAGTATAAAACTGTTAACTTAGTCACCACATCTACTTTCTAGCATCCAAAACAGTTCCCCCCGCCAATGGGGATTTAAATTGAAATCACGATTTTTTCACAGTTCAACAGTGCTTCGGAAGAGAGCCAAATTAGATGTGTCTGTTCAATCCACCACCTTCCTACAACCTGTTTTAGCCTCTGCAAATGACTTAAGTCCACCTGAAACCACTCCTCTGAGATAATATCTTGGTGACACTGGGCATATGGTTTAAACATGTATGTAATAGGGATCACAATGCCAGAACTTTGTATCACTTGACTATAGTGAAAAATGGGCAAAATGATGTATGCCCACTCGAGAGGTATGTACTATGTCAATTTAAGGTCTGCTGCTATCTTAGAGGAAGATAACCATTTCACTATTAGTAGGGCGAGTTGCTTTTTTATCCAGAATAATGCACTGGAAGATATGGCTATTCTCTCCTTGTCCCTCATTTACAAGTCGGCTTTTGGGTTAGAGATACAGTGCACAGATTTATGCTTCTCCATGACAAGTGATCATCAATTCATTAAAGGAAATGTAATAAATGATTTCAGCTCCTTGCATTCTACCAAAGCAATGAAGACTTTATGCTGTTCATGTGTGTAACTGTATACAAATTTTTAATACAAATATTTTATGTATCCTCCCAGGCACCTGGATTATGTTAACAGCAAGTTAGCAGGCCACATCATTCAGAAGATACGGGAAATTAATATTCTTGAGAAGAGAGGAAATTAGACACTACCTGAGAGGGTGGGGCATCCAGCTCCTAATGAAAAACAACTTTTGATAACACGGATAACACAGTACTATCACCTTCAAAGTGTTTGGTAAACATTAAGCTTTCTTTTCACCCTTTTAAAGGCTTAAAGCACCACACAAGTAGTTTGCAGGCCCCTTTCAGCTCCAAAAATGTTGGGATTCTACCATCAACTGGAAACCTGGGTTCTAGTCCCAGCTCTTTCCGAGATGGGGTATGTGACCTCACACATGATACTCAGCCCTGCATGGGTTCTTTCTTCATCTATAAAAAACCCCTATCATTCTCTCACCTTTGATTTCCCATTGCTGACACAGAATCAAAAGTAAATTTCAAAAGTAATTTATTCTTTTCAACAATTTAAGTATATTTTAATACCAATGTAAACATTTTTGATCCGGGTGTCAGAATTTAGTCTGAATACCTATCAACTGCATGGAAATGTTACCTCTAAAAGTACCCATTTTTATCAAGAAATACAGTAATTAGGTGTGACTTTAATGTGAATTAAAATTTAATGTACATGTACTTTCATCTCATATTGTCAGATAATGTAAGACTCTTATCTAAATCAGTTTTTTTTTTTAAATTTAGATTTAAAACTTTAATGAAGACTTGTTCGGTGGGTGTGAGGTACAGAATCTTGCAATTTTTTTTTTAGCACCGATAAGCAGTACAATATTGCAATTTTTAAAATATCTCAAATGAAGATGTCATCTGTGAGATAAACTGATTTTTGTAAAATATTTCATTATTTGCCATATTGTTTGGTCATAAAGTGAGCTTCATTATACTGCAGCAACTGAATTTTTCTACCATATAGAGGCACGTTTTAATATACCACATTGGTAATTAAAATGATCTCACGCTAAAGGAAAGAAGGGGCCTTTCACATTCTACTCAAAATCATCATATATTTATGAGGCAGGATTTATGTATGTTCTGCATGCCTTGATCTATTGTGCCTAGATTCATATCCTAGCTTTTATCATGATCTGGCTCAGGCAAGCCATTTAACTGGGGGGTCAGTGGCCTCACTTTAAATGTGTTGTGAAGATAAAATGAAATCAAAAGTATTTTAAAAAGAAAATAGAAAACTAATATACCAAATATTGCTGATGTGGCGAATTAGCTCAATTATTTAAGTCCCTACGTAGGGAGAATGGGCTGAGGCCCTATTTATTTTCATTCCATGAATTTCTCTCTGAATTCCATACTTGTCTTTCACAGAGCCAAAGAGGACCATGGCTACCTATGCATTAGTCCACATAATTTACCTCTACCGAAAATTACTTCCTTATTGATCTTTCTCAGGCTTTGCTTTCAACCGGACCAAATATCTGTCATAAAGTAAGACTCAGACATATTCTACGTTTATGATTACTATTAAGCTTTTGCAATCGTGAGGCAACATCAAGAACAGAAACCTATCTGAAAGGTTTCCAATCGCATTAGCGGATTGGAATCACTGGTCTGATGACTCTCTAAGGCTACAGGTGGGAACTGCCCATACCCGGTGGGGACCAAGCTGATGAAGTCTGCAATTCTCAAAAGCACAGATCATGACATGCACTCTCCGTGAGGGGTCATTCCTTAAAAGTCTGCTCACTACGAAAGCTCCTGGAAATGTCGGGCAGGTGCTTAGGGAAAGAATGAGAAATCCCTAGTCAGTCACAAGTCTTTGTAGTGTTACTGCTACAGCCGATGCAGGAAAGTGGCTAGGGAGGGGGTGGTGCCGGCTTTCAAAGGAGTACTCAGAATCTCTACACGATGCCAGAGCTGGTCTCTGGCAGGGAAGGCTGTGATGGCCTTGACTCTGGTCAAGTGGGTTTTTACTCAGGGAAGGGTGAAACAGAAGTGGCTCTGCGAGGTGCCAAAATAATCCCCTTTATGGCCACGCAAGTCTGCAACATGCGGCACTCGGACAGTCTCTTCCCAATACCCTCCCTTAACGAGAGCGCGCGCCCGCGGGGGCCCATTACCATCCTGCAGGATGAGGGTGGGCTGCACCGCCTGTACCCGGAACTGTCTGGCCCTCCAGCCGGGGCTGGGCGTCCGCACCACCTCGCTATCGGAAAGCCAGGTCACGGTCTCAAAGTTGTCCCCGCGAGCCAGCGCCTCGGCCTCGGCGTGGTGCACTGCCACGCGGTCGAACTGGTAGAGGCCGCCGGAGTGGTCGAAGTGCACGTGGGTGGCCACGGCAAGCAGTGGCCGGCGCGCCGCGTCCTCTTTGGCCTCTCGGTCCTGCAAGAGGCCGGAGGAGTACAGGTACTCCGGGAGGCTGCGCAGCCCCAGGCCTGTATCGATCACCACGTCCTGCTCGGAGCCGCGCACCAGCCAGATGTTGGCACGGTTGCCCGACTCGTAGAAACGTTCTTGAATCCAGAAGATACCATCGCCTAGAGACTTGTGGGCGTACCACTCGAGCGCCGACATGCTGGGCAGGGGTGCAGCCAGGCGGGGTGAGTGTGGGCGTGCGAGTCTCCCACAGGCTGTCCACACACAGGGCACTGCGGCTGTGTGAAGCGGTCTGCCTGCAGCCAGGGAGGAGGCGTAGAGCGAGGCGGGGGCGTGGGATGCGGGGGTCGGAATAGGAGGAGGAAGGACGCAGACCGACGCTGCCCGTAGCGTGCGCTCCCGCACCCTTCCGCCAGGTCGGCAGCAAGCAGAGGCTGCGCCACCAGCACGGGGGCGCAGGAGCTACCGCAGCCTCGGCAGCCGCACCACGAGAGAGCTTTAACGCAGGGGCCACTGCAGCAGAATGGAGACTCAGGTGGCGACCGTTTCGCCACCCCGGGCGTGTGACAGCAGAGGCCCGCAGTGAGGGTGGGAAGAGCTAGAACCGCCCACCCACTGGCTCTGCAGGGCGCGCACTCCCAGCTGGCGCAGAAAGTGTGGGGCCTCGCGGGTTGTACGGCGACTACGGCGCCTGCCAAGGGCAAAAAAACCTCTTTGCCGAGGGGGTGGGGCCTTCCTAGGGAGTGGGCGGGGCTAGTTGGTAGGGCTCACTCCGCGGTCCTGGTGCCGCGTGCAGGTCGGTGCGCGCTTCTCCCGAGGTGGAACGGGCGGCAGTCAAGCGCCGGCGTTCTCTGCCGTCACCCTTTCCTTGCCGGCCGGCACTTCGGCTGCAGAGTTTTGCCCACGCTTCGAGACTTAGGGAGCAGGTAACCGAGGAAGCAATCGAAGACTTGGGAGGGGTGGTGAGGGTAGAGGGGAATTAAAGGGGCACGTGGAAAAGGTGAGGGGAAGTCAGGGGTAGAGATTCATTAAAGCGCCTCTGGTTTGAGGGGCGTTTGGAGATAGCTTGGTACCTCCCCTCCTTGTCCTGCTCCCTTCAGAATTTTTTAAGTCCAATTTCCAGATCTTACCTAGTCTCTACTCCTAGGACTGTTTGCAGTGAGTTAGAAGGGTATTTATGCTCTTACTGATAGTAGGTTATTTTCAAAATCCATGGCTTTATGATTTTTTAGGCACTAGTCATTGCCGCAGATTGCAGCTGAGGACCGACTATTCAGTATCTGTTTTCGTAACTGTTGGCACTTTATATCGTAGGGAAGGGAGTTGTTAATATGGTTTGTCTTTTCTTATAAAAAATAAAATTCTATATCCACCCTTTTTTTAATTTTATTATTATTTATTTATTTATTTATTTATTTTGGTTTGTCTGCCCTTGGAAGAGAGTAAAGCGAGTTGGTAGAAAGGCTCAAATAAAGAAAAGGAGCACCTGGTGAGGACGGGAAAAGTGAATAATGACTGGGTGTGGCCCCGCCAGCCACATAAATCATCCGCTCTGTTAACATCAGGTCACTGTCTCCACTCCCCGCTTCCCAGCTATTGAAATATCTATTTAGGGTTTTTGTTTGTTTGTTTGTTTTTTGAGACAGAGTCTCTGTTGCCCAGTCTGGAGTGCGGTGGCGCGATCTCGTCTCACTGCATCCTCCGCCTCCTGGGTTCTAGCGATTCTCCTGCTTCAGCCTCCCGAGGAGCTGAGGTTACAGGCGCCTGCCACTGCACCCGGCTAATTTTGTATTTTTAATAGAAACGGGGTTTCACCATGTTGGCCAGGCTGGTCTTGAACTCCTGACCTCAAATGATCCGCCTGCCTCGGCCTCCCAAAGTGCTGGGATTACAGGCGTGAGCCACTACACCCGGCCAGAAGCATCTATTTAGGCTTCAGAAATTCCCTTGAGAACTTAACTAACCTCTTAAGTTAGTCAGGAAAAATGATAAAGAGACTCATGAGACAGCATTACAAAAGAATTATGATAACCTTTACTGTGACAACTACTAATAAGCCTTCATGGAAGGAGAGGTGTACGCTCCTTTCCTACCCTCCTAAAGTCTTTGGTGGGCATGCAGCTTTTCTAAATACTTTGCTAATCTTCACAGAGATTATTCGGTTACTCAGCTGGGGGCTTTCCTTATGCACAAGTCGCTGAGCTGGGTAATTCATGAACAGAGTTGTGTAAAAAGGTCATAATCTGGATTCTCAGGAGTTTGAGGGAAGATAATGTCTGTACACAATTACTTGCAAAATAAAGCATTACGGGGTATGTACCACAGAGGAAGTAAAAGCTAGATTCAGTAAGAATACAGGTGGAAGGGATTCGTGAGGAGTGGCTTTTGAGCTGGCCTTAAAAGACTACTTTTAGGGCATTCTCAGCAGAGTAATATAGGGCCCTCAGTAGTCTGGGTACTTTTTCTCTAGGCAGAAGCAAGCCACTAGTGGTGAAATGGAGTGATATCTCTACCAGGCCATGAGCTCAGCAATAATTTATCCAATAATCATTGGCCTTTTGCTAGGCTTTCGTTAGTAATGGGGACATAAAAAGGAGAATAAGTTTCCAAGGAGACCTTCACACTTCCAGGTCCCCCTGCCTGCATCCCACATCTCACTGGATATCCTTTTTTAATTCTCTACATGGCTCTTTGCCTTACTTTTGTCAGGCTTATGCTCAGGTATCACCAAGTAAGAGAGGACTTCTTCAGCCACCCTTTCCACAATAGCATCCATGTTTCCTGTCTTTATTTTTCTTATCATTTCCTGACATTTCCTATAAAATATATTTTGTCAGTTTCTTACCCTAGACTATGAGCTTCATGAGAGGAGAAATTTTGTTTTGTTCACTACTGTATTCCCAATTCATAGAAGACGGCCTGACGATGAGGGTGCTTAATAAATACTTGATTGGATTGAAGAGGCTCCCTGGGAGACAGATAAGAGCTGACAGTTACAACATGATTGTAAAAAGGGCTTAAAAGCAGAGTAGTACTTGGGAAACACAGAGAAGGGAGAGGCCTACCTCCATGTAGGGTGGAAGAAATTGTCATGGAGAAAGTGTCATTTGCATGGCATCTGAAAAGAACCTGGGGCTTAAGTGGATGTGGCAGGAAGGGCACTCCAGGCATGCAATGGTTGACTTGGCCACAGCGTGGGGTGCCTGTGGTGAGAGGCAGAAAGACTCCAAAGCTCTGTTAAGGAGAGTCACATGTCAAGATTTGTATTCCAGAAAGATACCCTAGACTGCAGAGTGGATTGAAAGGGAGAATCCGGCCACAGGAAGTTTATTTGTTCTGTTTTAGAGGTCCAGGTGAGAGATGAGAGGGTCTGAACTGAAGCAGAGGTGGAAGAAACAGAACATGGGAGAGAGAACAGAGCTGGTAAACCTCTACTATTAGATGAGGGGTTGGAAGTAGACAGGTCAGAATACCTATCCTGATTGTAGCAATTTAGGGGTCATTCATCAGGAATAATACCGTGACTTGACTTTCACTGCCTCCTCTAGCTTCTATGTCTGCTTCTATCTGTTTGTGCATTTATTCATGGAGCTGACGTTGTTACTGGTGGAGGGTGTCCAGGTTCTTGGCGTCTTGAACAAAGAATTGGACGAAACGCGCAAAGCAAAGAAAGAATGAAGCAACAAAAGCAGATACTTACTGAAAATGAAAGTACACTCCAGTGAGGCAGTGGGTGGAGCATATGGGCTCAAGGGTCCCCTTACAGAATTTGTGGGGGTTTAAATACCCTCTAGGGGTTTCCATTTAGTTACTTGGTGTACACCCTATGTAAATGAAGAGGATGAAGTAAAGTTACAAAGTCATTTACTTGGCATATGCCCTATGGAGAGGATATTTCCTGTCATAGCCGTAATGTGAATTGGCCTTTTGTTCCCTGCCTCCAGACCCTATTTTCCTGCCTCAGTGTGGACAAGGAACTGTGTAAGACGTGGAGGACAAGACATTTCAGTTACCTCATAACTCATAAAATGTTAGAACTAGGAGGAATTTCAGAGATTAGCTCAGCATCTGCTAGGACGTTGTTTTGGTAGTTGATTAAAATTGACTTTTTTATTTCAGCTCTTGGATGCTTAAACTACACCCATTTTCAAACCTCTCAGAACAATTCTGAATAGAAATTTTCAGGAGACATCCTGAAATGGAAGGGGCAATGCTACTGATTTTACATTTTTAATTGAGTCTGTTTTGCAGTTATTAATTCACTTCATTGAATAAAGACCTCCCTGGGATTAAAAAAGTCTTCTAACCAGCCTAGACCTATGCTTCCTGAAGTGTAATGCAAATGGAAGAACAGTGGAAAGGTAAAGCAGTCCTGCTTTTGTTAGGAATTAGCTTTGCGTCTTTAGGTAATCAAGTAACCGCTTAGGGTGTTGCTTTCCTCTTCTGTAAAATGGGAGGTTTAATCTGCGTGGTTCTTTTTTTTTTTTTTTTTGAGAGGGAGCCTCACTCTGTCGCCTAGGCTGGAGTGCAGCGGCGCAAGCAACCTCCACCTCCCGGGTTCAAGTGATTCTCCTGCCTCAGCCTCCCGAGTAGCTGGGACTACAGGCGCGTGCCACCATGTCCAGCTAAGCCTGTAGTCCCAGCACTTTGGGAGGCCGAGGAGGGCAGATCACGAGGTCAAGAGATCAAGACCATCCTGGCCAACATGGTGAAACCCTGTCTCTACTAAAAATGCAGTGGTTCTTAATTTGGGTTGCACACTGTAATCTCCTGGGATGCTTTAAAAAGTCCTGATGCTTAAATGGTACCTCCAGAGCTTCTGATTTTATTGTTCTGGGGTGAATCCTGGGTTTTCTTTTCTTTAAAACCTCTCTCAGTGATTCCAATGTGCAGCCAGGTCCCACTCAAAGAAAGGGGGAAAAAAGCCTTAATAATGGGCTGACTGAATTGTCCTTCTGTGGGTAGATTTGCTCATCAAATCACAGTGCACAAATAGGGTAAGCTTGACATTAATTGTGGAGCTGTTGCTATATAGGAAGCACTATGGTAGACAGTAGGGAGGATAAAATCCCTGCTTAACACAGAACCAACAAACAGCCAGGCGCGGTGGCTCATGCCTGTAATCCCAGCACTTTGGGAGGCTGAGGCAGGCACATCACCTAAGGTCAGAAGTTCAAGACCAGCCTTGCCAACATGGTGAAACCCCCATCTTTACTAAAAATACAAAAATTAGCCGGGCTTGGTGGCAGGCACCAGTAATCCCAGCTACTCTGGAGGCTGAGGCAGGAGAATTGCTTGAACCCGGGAGGCGGAGGTTGCAGTGAGCCGAGATCGCACCAATGCACTCCAGCCTGGGCGACAGAGCAAGAGTCCATCTCGGGAAAAAACAAACAAACAACAAACGAAAAACATAGGTGAAACTCCTCCCCTTTGGAAAAGATCAATTTCCCAAAAGTGGTATTCTATTTCTTTGAAAATTGACAAGTGTGGCAACATATATCACCTGAAATTTTTTTTTTTTAATCTGTGTTTTAACAGGAGGATCTTTCCAAGAGCAATGTGGGATGAAGTGGTTGTTGTGGTTGCTGAGGGACTTAAACTGGCTTTTTTGGTGAAAAGGGATGTAGCAAGTCAGGGAGGCAGAGGGAGTAAGTTGCAGTGGAAAGACTGGTATTCAAGACATGACTATAGTGAGTCAGGAGAATAGGGTGCAACCATCTTAAAAGGGCTCTGAGTAAATAGGGAGTTTGGATTTAATTCAGTTAGCCAAGAGGGAAGATGAGGAGAGTAGCAGAATCAAAACTGTGCTTTAGGATGAGTAATGTGGATCCATAAATTAAACAGGAAGAACAAGGGATACCACAAAGTTTGCAGTTAATCAGAAGTGAGGTGAAAAAGGACTGAGCTGGATTATGGTAGAGAAATTGCAAAGAAAGTGACATTTAGAAAGAATATGATTGATCAGTGCTCTCTGGCTCCTAGCACAGTGCCTGGAATGCTCAATATTGGTTGAATGAATGACTCAATGAAATTGGGCCATATGAAGTAGAGAAACATTTGGAGCATGAGGAAATATAGAAAGCACTAAAACTCCTTTATTCTAGAGTTTGGTGTATTGAAAAAGGAATGAGACAGTGGTTAACTCAACCACAGTCTCACTTGTAGGCTGTTTCTTTCATGATACATTTACCAGGATCCAGGGACTCTCTCTGAGCTCTGCAGGAGAAGAAAATGAATTTATCAGCTCCTCTGTGTACAGGGTAATGGATTCATGAAAACTAACTTAAAGAGATGGGTTTGTAGGCTGGAATGCCACATAATTATTAAATGTGTCAAAAGCTAGGAAGTTTTTCTGGCAAGGGTGGTACCTTCGCTAATGATAGCAATTCATACACCCAAAGATTGCTTGATAAAAATGGAAATTTAGAGTCAATAGAGTTTGTTATTTTTCAAGAGCTGTTCCATGAAGCAGTGCTAGCTGGTGTCCTCTTTTTTTAGGGTGAGTTTTCCAAACTTTTCCAGGGCCCACCTCCAAAGATTCTGGTATGGTAGGTTTGAGGGCTTGAAGAAAGCCTAGGACTCTATGTTTAGCAGGTCCTCCAGTTAATTTTCATGATGAGGAAAGTCTGGTAAACTTTACCTGGAATTGTTTTTAATCTTTAAGTAGTGGCAAATCCTGGACTGGAGTGCAGCCCAGTGGTTTTGAGTAGGCCTAGTGGGCTCTTGCAGTTGTTTCTTAGAGTGAAAGGTGTGACCCCTTCTGCTCAGCAGTTTTGATACTTGGGAGATACGCTTTCTCTAGGCTCAGCATATGTTTTAGTGACTCAGCAATTGAAACAAGTCCATTTGGATATTTTCCTGCTTTTTTAATGTAGAGAGATGTAATAAGCTGGGCTATTAAAATAAATATAGTTCCTGTATGAACTTTATTTCAAGGTAACTAAATAATAGATAAGAGAAATTGATCCCTGGTGGAATTCCAATTAATAAAACAGAAAGAAAGATAAAATTTGTATACCACCATTTTGCAATTCATAATGGAAAAATTGATCTAGATTGTGATCATCAGTGACTGCTAAAATCATTAGGTGAAAACTGATGGACACTTTATACTTAATGAAATAGACCAACACCTGAACCCATGACCAGCCTGATCAATACCAAGAGGGAGACTTTATGTTCATCTTGATGTAATAGAGAAGGAAAGAGAGAGCATCCCTTTTCAGTATTCTTGAAAAAAAAAAAAAAATCAAACCCAAATCTAAACCTCTAGTTTACCTGTTTATTGGAAATACACCCAGAGAATACAGGAATATGTTAAATCACATCTCAGGTATAAATCAGTCAAATCCAGAATATGGGAAATTATATAGCTTTGCTACTTTCAAAGTATGGTTTACAAACCAGTTGATGTCTCCTGAGACCTTGATAAAAATTCAGATTCTCAGTTTCTGTCTGCAGCCAACTGATTCAAAATCTGCCTTTTAACAAGATTCCTAGGTAATTCTCTTGTACCTAAAGTTTAAGAAGCATTGTATAGGGCACTGACCTAGTTTCTTAGACAAATAGAAAGAAAAAAAAATGGGAAAACCATTACAGTTTAAAAGAAAGTTAAATGTCATGTATTTTTTATATCTTGATTTGAACAAATTAACTGTAAAAACATTTATGTGATAACTAAGAAATGTGAATGTTAGTTCTATATAAGATGATGGTATAGAGTTATTGTTAAAATTGTAGATGCAATGTTATTGTGATTTTTTTAAAAGCCCTTAACTCTGAGAGAGGATACATACTGAAGAGTTTAAAATAATCTGAAGCATGGGAGTAGAAAAGTATAGTTAAAGTACAATAGTCATATACGGATAATTTTGAAGCTGAGTAGTGGGTATATGGAGATTTAATATACTGACTTTTGTGCATGTAAGTATAGTAAATGTAAGTATTAGTAAACCAAAAAAGGCATAGACTTGTAGTTTAAAACGACAACATTAAAGATGACAAATCAACTTTTAGTGTTCAAGCAGTTATGAAGGAAAACTCAAATATGGAGGCCTGCAGGGATAAATTTACGAAATGAATAATGTAAAACTATGAAACCCAAAGGGAGGGATTGAAACCAACTTTGCAAAAGTCATAACTGAGAAAATTATGACAGTGAAAGATATCAGACCTAATTGATCCCATCTTGCTTCTAACCTCTGAACTGTCCTTGTTCATTCTTGGGCGTGAAACCACCTTTGCAAAATTATGACTGAGACAGTGAAAGAGATCTAACCTAACTGTGACTCCATCTTGCTTCTAACCTTTAAGCTGTCCTTGTTCATTCCTGGGCATAGGCTGAACTAACTTTGGGAGGAAATTAGTTTATGGTTTGAAACAAAGACGATAACAGACTTTCCCAAAACAAACCTCCTCCTTGCCTGGGGACTAGACTGCCATTGTCGGACTAAGAAATTATTCACAAGATTAGAAATTATAGTTTCGGAGTCATGCAGCTGGAGGCTACAAGATTCTGACCCTCCCTAAACCACTCCAAAGATCAGTGCTTGAGATATTTTGCAGACCCTGCACTTGATGGATCAGGGGGCACTACCCAGATCGATTAACTGACTCTTCTGATCTTGTGGCCCCCACCCAGGAACTGACTCAGCAGAAGAGAACAGCTTTGACTTCCTATGATTTCATCCCCGAGCCAACCTATCTGCGCTTCCAGTTCACTGGCCCCCTACCCACCAAATTAACTTTAAAATCTCTGATCTCTGGCTGGGCGCAGTGGCTCACAACTATAATCCCAGAACTTTGGGAGGCCAAGGCGGGTGGATCACCTGAAGTTGGGAGTTCAAGACCAGCCTGACCAACATGGAGAAACCCCGTCTCTACTAAAAATACAAAATTAGACAGGCATGGTGGCGCACGCCTGTAATCTCAACTACTCGGGAGGCTGAGGCAGGAGAATTGCTTGAACCCGGGAGGCGGAGGTTGCAGTCAGCGGAGACCATGCCATTGCACTCCAGCCTGGGCAACAAGACCGAAACTCCTCCGTCTCAAAAAAAAAAAAAAAAAAAAATCTCTGATCTCCGAGTTTTCGGGGAAACTGATTTAAGGAATAATAAAACTCCGGTCTCCCGCACAGCCAGCTCTGTGTGAATTACTCTTTCTGTATTGCAATTCCCCTGTCTTGATAAATCAGCTCTGTCCAGACAGCAGGCAGGGTGAACGCCTTGGGCAGTTACAAAATCATATCTGAAAATGTTCTCAGTATCATAGCCATTATGTCAAATCAAATGCCGTGCATTCTACTTGAGTAATTCACAGAAAACAGGAAACGATGTTTCATTACATAAAGATGTTGAATATATGATTTGCTTCTGGGGCCTTAAATGTAGAAGGACATTAAAATTGGCCATCATTGGCAGGGTGCCATTGGCCGGGCACGGTGGCTCATGCCTATAATCCTAGCACTTTGGAAGGCCGAGGCAGGCAGATCACTTGAGGTCAGGAGTTTGAGACCAACCTGGCCAACATGGTGAAACCCCGTCTCTACTAAAAAAATAAGCCGGGCATGGTGGTGCGCGCCTATAATCCCAGCTACTTAGGAGGCTGAGACAGGAGAATTGCTTAAGTGAGGGAGGGAGGTTGCAGTGAAAAAAATAAATAAATAAAATATTTAAAAAATTAAATTGGCTGTCTAAAAGTGCAATGCCTTGTTACTGCTATTCCTTGCAAATGAATTAAAACTTGGACTGCCACATCCTGAGTGTTACATAGATTTACAGCAATTATAGTTATCTTACCTTTAAGGCAAATATTTTTAAGTTGCTAAGGCTAATTTTATAATTTTAAACCTCAAAGATGAGATCTATGAAGTCCTTGATTCTACATGTGTATTTTAACTCAACTACTCCTTAGTAGCTAAGACTTCCACCAAAACAGTTCTACCAATACTCTTAACATTTGCTGTGTATTAGAATCACCTGGGAAGCTTCTAAAACTGACTCTTGCCCAATCCTCACCCCAAGAGATCTGGATTGATTGGTTCAGTTCAGTGATTCACAGAACTTAGCATACATAGAATTATCTGGAAGGCTTCTTAAAACACCAGTGCTGGGCCCACTCACAGTTTCTTTTTTCTTTAGGTCTGTGGTGGAACTCACAGTTTGCATTTCTACCAAGTTCTGAGTGATGCTGCTGCAGACAGCACTCTTTGAGAACCATTGCTCTAGTTTCTTAAGCCACCCAAGTCATTCTAATGGCAGCCAGGGTTGAGAACTGAGAGCCGCTTGCTTTGTAGTGTTGGCCCTGTGATAAAGTGAGCTGGGAGTTTTCAGCCTTTTGGTCCAAAATAGTGCCTATATTCAAATTGTAGACAGTAAAATTGATATAAAGACGTAGCACCTTGTTGGTTTTACGTAGTGTTCCTTCACCATTAATGTGGTAGACTAAGAAGGGTAACATTAATGACCAGGCAAGAAACCCTGGTGAAGAGTAGAGCAGCTGTGTGAAGTACTGTGGCTTGCATAATTTTGCAAGGAGGGCAAGTGAGTAGATTCAGAAATGAGACTGAGCTGATGGGGCCAAAACCAATGCCACTCCTCTGACTTCCTCCGAGTGGTCCAGGGGACATACCATTTCTCTCTTGGGTTCAAGGGGTTAAATGAGGCTCAGTATTATCAGCAGGGAAAGAAATGTAAAGAATGTGCATTATAATCATCACTACAGTTGAATGCAGACTTCTATTGAAAGAACTCTAGCGTAGGGATCCCTGTTTATACATTGGCAGCTCAGTTCTCATAGTATAATCAGAGGATTCAAACGTTCAATACAACTTGCATATGTGATATCACTCCTGTCTCCAAAATTGAAGAGTACAGGTTTATCATAACTTTAATGATTTTAACTGTTTTTCTCTGAATTTTTTTTTTCTTGGACAGGCATCTTTCGAGTCTCATTGATCCCATTCCCATTTCTAGAAGGAAGACATTGGACTAGATCTCAGGGATTCTTCCAAACACTCACATGCTAAGATAAATCATTTAAAGTCTTAAAGTATATATGACTAATGATAGTTTTTATGTTGACATGAAAGATTTCTTCTCCTCATCAGCCTGGTCTTGTCTTGTGTCCACTTTTTATGTACATTACATCTGAGATCCTACTGCCAAACCACAGAAGGGTGGGTGAATTGCGTGGACTGGATGTGGGGCAGTAGTGGGTGAGGGGGTTGAAGCCATCATTATCTTACCTGCCAGAGGTGTGTGAGTGTGAGCAGTTCAACAGTCAGTTGTCACATGTTTATTTGTGTACATGTTTTGCTTTCCAAAAGTATTTTAAGTCAACTGTGCTACTTAAGGGGTGCAGTTTTATATTTTGCTTTAAAGTGTTGATTTCTTTTTTATATGTGATCCAGTAAATCGTAATCATTAATAGTGCCTTTCAGAATTTGCCCACTCATCTGGTATAACTGGTTCTGATGGCTGGGAATAAAGGAAGAGGACGTGCTGCTTATACCTTTAATATTGAGGCTGTTGGATTTAGCAAAGGTGAAAAGTTACCTGATGTAGTGTTGAAACCACCCCCACTATTTCCTGTAAGTATATGAACAGTTGAATTCTCATAGTGTGTTTTTTCATTTTTCAGAGAATATTAAAATTCTATATGGGACTGGATGTATGATTATAGCATCCTCAAGTATAAGAAAGTAAAGGAGAGTGTGTTTCACTTACCTTTAAATATTTTCATGATCTGCTTTCTTAAAATATAGAAAACAAAACTGTATACATCTTTCCATGAATATATTTAGTACTATGTGAACCAGTAAAGAATTAGTTTTCAATTCTTACAACTTGTATTGGTGTTATTGATAAATTCCAATATGAAAATAATAGTTTTAAAAGTCATTAGGTTTTATAATGGTTCTCAGTTCGCACCCTATCACACCTTCACTTAATGATTTTCTTATCTTGTATCTATAGAATTTAAGTTTGCTCCTTAGTATACCACTTGACTTTTTCCCCCACTGAACTTTTTTTGCTTATTTTAGTGTTGTTTTAAAATTTAGTGAGTATGCTGCAAGCTTAATTTCCATAATATATAATGTTTTCGCTTTATGTTTAGTTTAGAATGTATCCAGGGATCTAGATGTATCACACAAGGAGTCTCTGCGTTTTGCTCTTGGTATTTTACCTTTTTGATATTCAGCGCAGCATAAAAACAAAGACAAATATCTCAGGTATTGGCATAATGTCACTTTACAGTGCTTTTAAAAACAAGCTCTTTTCCATGTGTGAGGAGATTACCTCTAAACACTGGGGATGTTAGTACATAGTATTTCTTTATACTTGGAATAAAATTAAAATTCCTTACTACTGGGTAAAAGGCTCTGCCCGATCTCTCCGTTCTGATGTCTCTCTGACCCTTTTTCTACCACTGTCCTCATTCCCCAGCTACGCAGGTCTCCTTGGGTCCTCAGGCCTTTGGCCCTGCTGGTTCTCTGCTGGAACCATCTCTTCTCTTTGCATGGATGGCTCCCTGATTTTATCCCAATCTCTACTCAAATGTGACCTCCCCAAGAGGCCAGGCATGCTCACCCTGCATAGATTCCACCTCCATCCTCCATGCACTGTCAGTCATTTTTCCTTTACCCACCTTCATTTATTTTTATGTCATTTGTCACTATGTGAAATTGTATGTCACCTCATTTGTTTACTAATTTGTTGTATGTTGCTCTCCTAGAATGTAAGTTCCCTGTGGGCAGGGACTTTGACTTATTTATCATGGTATCCTCCATAGTCTAAACATGTTGAGTACTCAATAAGTAGTTGCAGCATGAATGTATACATTCCTAATCAAATTTTGAAAATGTACCTTATCTTTATCCTCTGAAATCAGAAATGTCTTTACTAGGTACCCTGGAGATCCACTTGTTAATGAACATATTTGTGTAAATATATACACACATACAAACGCGTATTTGTGTATATGTATGTGTGTGTATAATTTTTAAAACTTGAAATGCAGCTTCAAACTCCATCTTGCCATTTATTCACTTCTCAATTTCTTCACTGTAAAAGGATAAATATTGGTAGCCCTTTCAATGAGATACTGGATGTTGGATATTGAGTATATTGTAGTCATAGCAACCACTTACTAAATGATAGCTGCTGCTTTTTTATTTATTTATTTTTTTCCAATAATACCACCACTAGCTGAGGTTAATAAGAACCTAAAGCAGCTGCTCTCATTTGGGTACCTTAGTTTTTCTTTTTTTTTTTGGTACATTAATTTTTTTTTTTTTTTTTTTTTTTTTTTTTGTGAGACGGACTCTAGCTCTGTCACCCAGGCTGGAGTACAGTGGCGCGATCTTGGCTCACTGCAAGCTCCGCCTCCCGGGTTCACACCATTCTCCTGCCTCAGCCTCCCGAGTAGCTGGGAATACAGGTGCCCGCCACCATGCCCGGCTAATTTTTTGTATTTTTAATGGAGACAGGGTTTCACCATGTTACCCAGGATGGTCTCGATCTCCTGACCTCGTGATCCACCTGCCTCGGCCTTCCAAAGTGCTGGGATTACAGGCGTGAGCCACCATGCACGGCCTGGTACTTTAATTTTTAAAGTAGATAATCACATAGGTCAACAGACTGTTTGGCAAAATGATTATTGGTGTAGTTTTCAGGGCCAATAGGAAAATTACGCATCTTTCTTACCTCTAATAGAAGAGCAAAGTAGGAAATGGGTTAACAGGTTAAATAGACTACAGAAGTTCATCTTTTAAGTTGGTTGTAAAACTTAGTGCCTGTAAAACATAGTATTTCAATAAAACTGCTGTTTTCTATAATACAGATAAAAGGGATATTAAAATACATAATTGATTTGAAAAAAATCTTTGTCTCTTAATTTAAACAGGATACAGATTATAAACCAGTGCCACTGAAAACAGGAGAAGGTGAAGAATATATGCTGGCTTTGAAACAGGAGTTGAGAGAAACAATGAAAAGAATGCCTTATTTTATTGAAACACCTGAAGAAAGACAAGGTACTGTATTGGAGTCTTTGATTATGTGGCTTAATGTATACAGATGAAACAGTGTTTAAGCACAAGATATATAATCATTTAATGTTGATTGATTCGATTCAATAAAAAATTATCAACTACTTTGAAAAAGCTATTTATGTTGCTTTAACAGAAAAAATACTTTAAACTTTTTGATATTTTATTTTTAGAAATATCTTTCATTATAATTTTATATGTTCAGTGAAAATTATGAAAAACAGGAAAATTTTAAAAAGTAAAAATTACCCATTCTTATGTCTAGAGAACCACTATTAATATTTTAGTATATATTCCAGATTTTTTCTTATGCATGTATATTCTCTTTACAAAATTAGATTCACATTACTTTGTATCTTCCTTTTTTCACTCAGTAGCATATTAGCATTTTCACATATCCTTATTATTCTTGGAAAACATGACTTTTAATGACTGGTAGTCTACTCTGTGGATATATTATTATTAACTGTAACTAATTTCCTGCTTTTTAAATATTATTTTCAGTTTTTTGCTTGTATATATAATGCCGTGATTGTTATCATTATACATAAACCTTTATGCATGTCTCTGATTATTTAATATTTAGGTTAAAAAAATTTTTGAGACTTAATTTTGTTTGGTTTATCATTTAGGTGTTTGATATGATGTAAAATATGTATTCATTGGTGCTGCTTAGGGAAGAAAGGAAACATTATAGTTGGAGAGGGCTCAACAGTCTCAGGCTAGAAGTGGGAAGTGGTTTTATAGGAAAGGAAACCATTCCTGAGTAGCTGTTTAGCACAGCAGTACTATATTGATTTTTCACTTTCTGCCCTTGATTGTTGAGATTAGAGAGACTGATATCATCTTTGAGTTCTCAAAACAACATCATTAAAACATGAGAAATTCGTAGTGTCATCTCATTCCATTCGTATTAAAAATGCATTCCATTTTTCCTCTCTCTCTAGAATAGTTTGAATTGGCTGAGTCAAAAAAGGAAGCCTTATGTAATGATCTTAGCATGTGCTTATAATTATAGGAAGCATTTTAGACAAATTCATTTAATTCTCAAAACATAGCTGCTTTAAGTTATATAATGGTTTGATAAGAAATATTTTATCTCAAAAATACTTAATTTTTTTTTTTTTTTTTTGGAAATGGGATGGAGTCTCACTCTTGTCACCCAGGCTGGAGTGTAGTGGTACAATCTCGGCTCACTGCAACCTCCGCTTCCTGGGTTCAAGTGATTCTCACATCTCAGCCTCCTGAGTAGCTGGAATTGCAGACGCACAGCACCATGCCCGGCTAATTTTTGTATTTTTAATAGAGATGTTTCACCATGTTGGCTAGGCTGGTCTTGAACTCCTGACCTCAAGTGGTCTGCCCATCTCAGCCACCCAAAGTGCTGGGATTACAGACAGACGTGAGCCACCATGCCCGGCCTAATACTGAAATTTTTAACTCTCATGATGATGTTGCATGCTTTCGTCTGTTTGAGTTCTAAAATAAAACTTTTCATTTTAAAGATTTTAAAAAGTAAGACCAAATGAACTAATCAGTATTCATTCTTATTAGAAAAAATAGTAATGCAGGGTATACTTTAGTGCTTTTAAAATTGATCTTTTCTCTATGACACAGATGCACTTAGGTGAATGTGGTTGTTATTAAAGCACATGTCTAATTTAAAAGTATGTCAAATCAGACTGGACACGGTGGCTTACTCTTGTAATCCTAGCACATTGGGAGGCTGAGGCAAGCAGATCACCTGAGGTCAGGAGTTCGAGATCAGCCTGGCCAACATGGGAAAACCCTGTCTCTATTAAAAATACAAAAGTTAGCCAGGCATGGTGGTGCATTCCTGTAATCCCAGCTACTCAGGAAGCTGAAGCAGGAGAATTGCTTGAACCCGAGAGGTGGAGGTTGCAGTGAACTGAGATTATGTCACTGCACTGCAGCCTGGGTGACAGAGTGAGACTCTGTCTCAAAAAAAAAAAGTATATCATATAATTAAAGCATTTATGTGAGTGTTTTAGACAGGGATATTAAAAACATAATTTTGTTGTTGGTCTATGGGAGTGGTTGGCTAGTACTTGGATTAAGGGGCACTTTATCTTTGATAACTATGCAATAAAGTATTTCAAAATATAAGGGTTTTTTTTTTTTTTTTGCTTTTATTTCTTTCAGGGGAAAACTCTTGTATAGAAATTTCCAAATTGATACAAGTACATTCTCCCTGAGATCTTCATGTTTACTTCTGTCTTTTTTTATTTTATTGTTTTATATTTTATTTTGGAGATGAGGTCTCGCTCTGTCACCCAGGCTGGAGTGCAGTGGGACAATCATAACTCACTGCAGCTTCCAAACTCCTGGGCTCAAGTGATCCTCCCACCTCAGCCTCTTGAGTAGCTGGGACTACAGGCGCACACACCATGCCCGGCTAACTTTTAATTTTTTTTTTTTTTTTTGTAGAGACGGGAGTCTTGCTTTTTTGCTCACACTGGTCTCACATTCCTGGCTTCAAGTGATCCTCCCATCTCGGCCTTCCAAAGTGCTGAAATTACAGGCATGAGCCACCGCACCCAGCTTACCTCTGTTTCCTGATATAGTGTTTAAAAAACACACGCATGTTAAAAATAAAGGTTTTTCTATAAAATATATACATTTATATGTGCCTATATAGGTTTATATAATATGTGTATATATGTGCATACATAAATTTATATAATATCCATGCTATGAGTGAAAAAGAATTGGCCAGACTGAAGAGAACGACCCTACTGTCAGAGAGAATCATATTCCGGATAGAGATGTTGCATGACTGTACCTTCGCCAGGTGCATCACTTACCACCTGTGTGCTTTAGGAAACAGAGACTTAAGGGCTACTGTAAAGAACTAAATCACTAGACACTAGGACAGACAAATAGGGTGAGAGATCTCAAGACTTCCTGATAGTCAAGTGGCTGGTGGCTCAGGGCATTGAGATCAGTCCTCAAGAACTGATGGCATGGAATGAACATATTTCATGTTGCGATGTCTTCAAAGTTTGTTTTTAATGTTTTCAGGTAGGATTATAGAAATGATTAGTATTTTCTTTGCATCGAAATTTGTTATTTATATAATAAAGGAAAAACACCAATGAATATTATTTTAGTGAATTTTAGCTATAAGAGATCGTCTAGTCTAGTGGTTCCCAGCTCAGGTTCCTGAACCACAGGGTCCTCTGAAGTAGAAACATGATTCTGACAGTGGTGATAGTGTCATAAGTCATTTTCAGAACCTCAAAGCTTAATGGAAATTATACATTTACTTAAATACATCCACAGGTCTGTTACTGAATAAATGGAATTTGGCTTACTAATTCTTGATATACCATCAGTGTCCATGAGACCCAATATAAATTTTTGACGTTTTTTTTTTTTGGAGCAGTTCTTATTGTTTGTATGATTAATATTGATAACTTTTATTCTTGCATAGAGGTTTTCTAAAGAAGAAACAGACATTTTCTTAAAAAGGAAAACTCATTTTATCATAGAATACCATATCAGCCCATTGGACCCTTTTATATATCTAAAATAATTATGGAATCTGAGTGATCTTATTTTTTCTCTATATTGAAATACCTTGCTACTTTATCATCATACATATTATCTCATCACTATTCATCAGACATTCCCCACTATGCTGAAAAAAAGAATAAATTTAAAAAATGGGAGAATGATGAAATTGACTGTGCAATTCAAATAAATTATCACTATTATGTCATCATATAGTTTTCCTATGGTGTTGTCCAAAGCATTACATCTGTTTTTTAAGAAGTTATAAAGTCTTCAGAGACTCTTATGTTTGTAGTTGCTCTGTTTTAATTTTCATTTAATACAATTGAAAATTTCAAAAATTTTTAATTTTTTGCTCATAATGTCTAAAATTGACAGAAAAACATGTTCCACAATTCTTAGACGAATCAGAAGTCAAATGCAAAGAGATAGATAGCTCTCTGGATGCTCATGATGATGATGAAATTGATTGTATAAGCAAAATCTCAGACTGTGAGTCTTCAGATGACAGTGTCTTCAATGAATTTTCTCAAATTCAAGAATCAATGAGTAAACACTGTATCTCCAAGAATTAAAAAGGAATTATGGTGGCCTTCTACAGTCAATCTTTGAAAAAGAACTCATCATGTAATACTTTGTAACAAAAACCTGGAACATCCTGTTTGCTAAAATGAGACGATCATTTTTGTTCTATGATATTTGTGCACCAAAATTAATTTGATGTGTTTTGTAACTGACAAATGCTGAACATAAAGGCAAAGACAACAATGATTGAAAGGAAATTGATTATATAGACATGAAATTGTTTTCTGGATTGATTGTGTTAACTGGTGATTATAAATTTAATAATGAAAATATTTTGCAAGTATAGAGCAAAGAAGATGGCTGGGCCATCCTCTCTTCAATAGAAGTATGAGACATCAGCCGGGCGCAGTGGCTCACCCCTGTAATCCCAGCACTTTGGGAGTCTGAGGCAGGTGGATCACGAGGTCAGGAGATCAAGACCATCCTGGCTAACATGGTGAAACCCCGTCTCTACTAAAAATACAAAAAATTAGCCAGGCGTGGTAGAGGGCACCTGTACTCCCAGCTACTCGGGAGACTGAGGCAGGAGAGTGGAGTCAACCTGGGAGTGAGCCGAGATTGTGCCACTGCACTCCAGCCTGGGCAAGACTCCGCCTCAAAAAAAAAAAAAAAAAGTATGAGACATCAAAGTTTTTTAAAGTATTGCATTTTGGATATGTAAGTACAAGAAGAAGAATTGGAAGTAGTGATAAGCTAGATTCTACTAGAAATGCATTTATAATCTGAAATTATTTAGATGATACACATATGAGAAAACCAGAGGAAATTATAAGTTAGAACCTATTAAAGATGTCTTTGGAATCTGGGATCAGGACGTACAGAAGGCATATATTCTAGGTTTGTATGTGGCAGCCGATGCACAGAAAACTGCATTCAAATGACTTTGCCCATTTTGGTTAAATTTACCTTCAAAATCAGTAAAACATGTAATATAAATTTGGATTTGCTATACTTAATTGCTTAGTAAAATCTCCAATAACTTTATTTATTTATTTTTATTTGAGACAGGATCTCGTTCTGTCACCCAGGCTGGAATGCAGTGGCATAATCTCAGCTCACTGCAGCCTCCACCTCCCAGGCTCAAGTGATCCTCCCACCGTAGCCTCCCAAGTAGCTGGAACCACTGGCATGAGCTACCATGCCCAGCTAATTTTTGCATTTTTTGTAGAGATGGGGGTTTCACCATGTTGCTCAGGCTGGTCTCGAACTCCTGGACTCAAGGGATCCAGCTGCCTTGGCCTCCCAAAGTGCTGGGATTACATCCTGAGCCACTGTGTTGGGCCTAGTTTTATTGATTTTTAAGTAACAGCTTTACTGAGACATAATCCACTATATAAAATTTACTTTTTAAAGTGTACAATTCAGTGACTTTTAATATAGCCACAGAGTTGTGCAATCAACACCACTATTTAATTTTTTTTTTTTTTTTTTTTTTTTTTTTTTTTTTTTTTTTTTTTTTTTGAGACAAGAGTCTTGCTCTGTTACCCAGGCTGGAATGCAGTGGCATTATCTCAGTTCACTGCAACCTCCACCTCCTGGATTCAAGTGATTCTCTTGCCGCAGTCTCCCAAGTAGCTGGGATTACAGGCACGTGCCACCACACATGGCTAATTTTTTTGTGTTTTTAGTATAGATGGGGTTTCACCATGTTGGCCCGGCTGGTCTTGAACTCCTGACCTATTAGCAATCTACCTGCCCCAGCCTCTCAAAGTGCTGGGATTACAGGTGTGAGCCACTGTGCCCAGCCACTATCTAATTTTTTAGATGCTTTTCATCATCTAGAAAAGAAATTCTGTACCCTTTAGTAGTCATTCCCTACTCTCCCTCCTTCCAACCCATGGCACCAGAAATCTGCTTTCTGTCTCTAGAGATTCCATGTCATATAAATGGAATGATGTAACATGTGTCTTTGGCTTCTTTCACTTGCCATAATGTTTTCAAGGTTCATTCATGGCTTAGTACATATGAGTGCTTCATTCCTTTTTATGGCTGAATAATATTCCACTGTATGGATATATGCCACATTTTGTTTATCCACTCATCACTTGATGGGCATTTGGGTCAGTTCACTTTTGGGATTACATGAGTTATCTTGTCATAAACATTCATGTACATGTTTTATGTGAAGACATGTTTTCATTTATATTGGGTATATACATAGGATCATATGGTAACTCTGTATTTCACATTTTGAGGAACTGCCAAACAGTTTTCTAAAGTGGCCACCCGATTTTACATTCCCATCAATAATGTATGAGAGTTCCAATTTTTCCATATCCTTGCCAACATTTCTTATTTTTTTTTTATTCTAGCCATCCTAGTGGTTGTAACACAGTATCTCATTGTGGTTTTGATTTGAATTTCCGTAATGATTGGTGATGTTGGACATCTTTTCATGCTTTTTGTCCATTTTTGTATCTTCTTTAGAGAATTGTCTATTCAAATCCTTTACCTCTTTTTAATTGGGTTCCAATAATTGGTTTTCAATATCTGTTCTTTTATCTGTTATCTTTTTTATTTATTCTCTGTATTTCATTATTTGAAATTAACTTAAAAATATTTTAAAATATAAAAAGTGGTCTACTGTACCCAGAGAAAAAGGGTAAAAACTGTTTTTTTCCGGTATACTGAGGGTTAAAATTATTTAAAATATGGAAACTGTTTTGGAGAAAATTCTTAAAAAGAAGTCATTGTGTTACAAATTCTAGGAATCTCTCATTTGTGCTGACTTCGTTTTATAGATTAAAAACTTGGCAAGATTAGTTAAAACATTTTACCTGAAGTCAAACAGTTAAAATACCTAGAAAAACCTGATCTCTTGGTCTCTGATCTACTACTTATTTTGGTTATCTTTCTCTAATACGTGGTTGTATTATTTGGAAGCATATACTTGACATAGAAGAAAAATCAGTATATATTTGGTCCTTGATTTTTATCCATTCATCTTTAGTATTACCTTCCCTTTTTCATGCCTAACTCCTGAACTACTTTTTATGATGAACATGGCTTCAAGCTTTTGTGTGATAGTGTTGCTTTCCAACTTGTGCTGCTGGAAAAGAGTTTGTGCCCTCCTTAAGGGTGTTTCTTGTGATAAGGTGGACTAGTCTGAATCAAGAGCCGCAGTTATGGCTTTACTGGTTTTGGCAAGCTCAGAGGGTTCCTGCAGAGTTTTCAGCAATTGGCATGTAGGGCTTGCAGCTTGCTCATTTATGCCTCAGATCAGTAACCCCTCACCAAGTCCATCCTTGCCTACCCCTACCCTTTTTCCCATTCTCTTATGTACAAAGGTGGGAAACTCCCTGTATGTAAAATTAAAAATGTTGTCTGTTGTTTTCAATAATCTTAAAGGAATGGCTTAAGTTCAGGGTTACTGTTGATTTTCCTAATGAGTTCTTTATTCTTTTTTCCCCTAGATATTGAAAGGTATAGTAAAAGATACATGAAGGTATACAAGGAAGAATGGATACCAGGTAACTACAAAACACACAATATGAAAACAGTTTTTAAAGGCTGTCTCTCTCACCTCATGTTTTTTTTTTAGAATAAGTTTTCTATTTTTACCATAGGAAAACTGAGTCTGGTTCTTTTATTGTGATTAATTAGTAATCTGTTAGAAACTAAGGTGAAAAGATTTTTATGCTAAAACAAGGAAGAGTTGAAGTGCTTTTGTGGAAGTTCTTAAAATATATATATATGTATATTTTATTTTATTTTATTTATTTTTTTGAGATGGAGTCTTGCTCTGTCGCCCAGGCTGGAGTGCAGTGGCACGATATCGGCTCATTGCAAGCTCCACCTCCAGGGATCATGCCATTCTCCTGCCTCAGCCTCCCGAGTAGCTGGGACTACAGGCCCCCGCCACCATGCCCAGCTAATTTTTTGTATTTTTAGTAGAGACGGAGTTTCACCGTGTTCGCCAGAATGGTCTTGATCTGACCTCATGATCCGCCCGCCTCAGCCTCCCAAAGTGCTGGGATTACAGGCATGAGCCAACACCCCCCACCCTTAATATACATTTTTTACAAAAATAGGACAGGCCAAACAAACCCTTTGAATTTTCCAATTTAATTAGCCACAATCACAATTTTAATTTGTAATACCAGAAAGCACAAATACTATGCTCCTGAGCAATTTTAGAGCATTTGAAGAGAAAGCAAAAATCTCGTTTTAAAGATATTTTAAGCCAAGCTCATGGATCTTCCTTTCTTTTAAGCAGACATAGACTAGTTTTAGTTGTTAGGCTTCTTCAAAAGAACCATATCCAAAAAGAAGCTTTACCTTGGGTATGGACAAGTTAGAAGGGTCTGTAAAGGAGATCTCATCCCACTCATTCATTTTGCAAATAAAAACAGTTGTCATAGAAATAAAGTGACCTGTCAGGCCATGTGGCCAATACTGTTAGAACCCAGGTCTTCTCATTTTAATTCACATTCTTTTTATGTCTCTGTCCTTGGTCTTTTATGGAAACTCCCCTTATGTAAAAACATAGATGGCATTAACAGCCTTATCATTTTCACAGATTATAGTACTATCTTTTCAGTGTTGGTAAGGTTGGGGCACCCTGGAAACAACTTAGGTCTCTCATTTCTTCCGTTTCATTAGTATTCATCTCTCAAATGATTCTCTACATATTCCGTCATGATCTAAAATGAATAGCTTATAAAAACTAAAATATATTCAAAGCAAAATTTATTTTTCAGGTAAAATGACTTGAGATTTAAATGCTTTGTAAAAATGCTCCAAATTTTCTTTAAAAGCAGGCAATATTTTTAAATCAACTTTTATGTTGCTTCCATTTCCTGTTTAACTCTATGCTTAAAAATTAAAAGAAAGTGACACATTAGAGGAATTATTTAGCTAATACAAGCAAAATTATTTATTGGAGGAGATTTGTTTTTGACAGCTATTTATATTTTTAATTTTAAAGTTTTCAGATATTACAATTGTTTATTTCATTTTGCATGTTTTGGGATTATGGTAACATCCTTTTGAAAAAAAAAATTTGTTGCATAAGAAATATATCAACTACAGAATATATCAACTACAGAAAACTTATGAAATATAAAGTGGTCAAATAAATATAAATAATACTTAAGAAAAACTGTCATAATTCCAACACCCACAAATAATTACCATAAGGTTTCCTTCACCAAAAATTTTATAGCACTATTTCAGAGCTATTGTAATAAATTTTCTTTATAGGAGAAAATATATCATTGTCTGTAATATTTGGATTTGGTTTTTATATGTTTCAAGCTAAATTTGTAAAGTCAGATACTAAGGCACTTTATTGTCATTTTCTGGACAACTGTTGTGTCCTTCAAATAGTTATGTTCAATGCCACAAATTCCTAGAGGAAACTGCAATTTTTTATTTTTTATTTTATGTACAGATTGGAGAAGACTTCCAAGAGAGATGATGCCAAGAAATAAATGTAAAAAAGGTACATTGACTAATATAATAGTAATTCAGGTAGGAAAAGGTTATTTCTTACATTCTGTTAATATGGATTTGTCAACCCAAAGTTATACTCACTGTTCTTAATGCTTTTCTTATTTTGAGCCAGACAAGGGATCTCATGCCTGTAATCTCAGCATTTCGGGAGGCTGAGGTGGGAGGATCACTTGAGCCCAGGAGTTTGAGACCAGCCTGGGCAACATAGTGAGAACTTGTCTCTACAAAAAGTTAAAACAAGTATTAGCCAAGTGTGGTGGCATGCACCTGTAGTCCCAGCTACTTGGGGGTCTAAGGTGGGAGGATCACTTGAGCCAAAGAGGCAGAGGCTGCAATTAGCCTAAACTGCACCACTGCACTTAAGCCTGGAAGACAGAGCAAGACCCTGACACTCTGTCTAGGACACTGACTCTCTCCCTCTCTCTGTCCCCCCATGTATGTGTGTGTGTGTGTATATATATGCATTATAACTATTTTGCTAAAGCTTGTTTTTTGTTGTTTGTCTTTTGGGTGTTTTTTTTCTTAGTTGTTGCCTTTTCTTTGTGTATGTCTTATTTTTTAATTTTTAAATGTTTTATCTTTTTTTAAATTTCTGTGTTTATTTTAGATACAGGGGTACATGTGCAGGTTTGTTACATTGGTATATTGCACTCAGGTAGTGAGTGTACTACCTAATAGGTAGTTTGTTAACTCACTCCACCCCGTCCTCCCCTCCCGACTTTAGTAGTTCACTGTGTCTGTTGTTCCCATGTTTATGTCCATGTGTGCTCAGTGTTTAGCGCCCACTTATAAGTGAGAACATGCAATATTTGGTTTTCTGTTCCTGCATTTATTCACTTAGGATTTTCCTTTAGTTATGGAATTGTGGAGCTGCTAAGAAAGACTTTTCAATTATTGTAGACCTTTTCATTTGCATAACTGCAGATTTTTTATTATACTGGCTACATTATAAATTATTAACTAAAACATTTTAAAATTGGGAAACCAATAAAATGGAGCTTTATGTTGTATAGAAGAATGCCAAAGTGAATGTTTACAGTTTGTTTTTCTTTAGTAATTTCATTCAGTAAATAGTTATCTATTATTGCCAGACATTGTGCTGACAGGAATAAAACTGAGCAAAGTGGGAATAATCCTTGTCCTCATGGAGCTTGTAGTCAAATGGGGTAAAATCACTAAAGAAAAACACACTGTCCTCATTGGGAAGGGTTCTTTGAGGACATGGAATTGGAGTTGAGATTGAAGGATGAATAGGAGTTTACTGAGACATAGTTGTGGGAGAGGAAGTAGGGAAATACCAGGTTTGTGAGAGAAAATCAGAAGTTCAGTTCAAAGATGTTACTTATGGTTCCTTTGAAATATACAAATATAAATGTTAAATATATTCTTGGATACAGGGGAATGGACCTCAAAATGGAGATAGCAGTCATTATCAGAGATATGATCATTGAGACCAAGAGAAAGGATGAGATGGTCTAGGGCAGAATTAGATAATTAGAAGAAAGGAGAGCCTAACCCTGAGCTTACAGGAATGCCAACATTTAATGGGCTGGTAGAGGAGATTGAATGGCAAAGAAGGGAACTGGAAAGAGAGAGGGAGGAGGAGAACCAGGAGAGCAGAGTTACACAAGGTAGTCTGGTATTTCGGAAGGTGGTCAACAATGTTAAAAGATGTTAGACATTGCTGCTAAGAGGTCAGATAGGACGAAGACTGGAAAATGTTCACTCGTTTTTGACATGTTGGTTATTGTGACCTCAGTGAGAGCTTTTTGAAAGATTCACTGAGGTAGAATCCAGATTGGAATGGCTTAACCGGTAAATGGAGCTTAGGAAATGGAGACAGCTAGCATAGATGAGTCTTCTTAGAATTTTGCTATGAAGAATGAAGAGTGAAAAAGGAAGGTAGTCAGAGAGGTTAAGAACAGTGGGGTTATCAACTAAGAGAAGAGAAGAGAAGGAATTCCTATTCCCCGTTTTAACACCTTTATTGAGATATAATTGACATACAATACAATGCACATATTTGAAGTACATACACAATTTACATTTTTTGCACATGTGTATTTAAGGCAGAGTATTTTTATTTTATTTTAAAGATACAGTATATAATCATATTTAGCTTGCATAAAGAATATTTTGAAATATGACAATTTATCTTCTGTCTTTTATACCGTTGGTTTTTATTGGGCAAATATATTATTTTCATAATAAAATACATGTGCATGAATGATACTGGTCATGTCCTAGAGGATCACACATCTGTAGTTGACTTTAAAGCTGAGAAAAATGTGTTCATTTTGGAAGAGTTAATGTTTTCAAATATGTTATCCCTGGGATTTTATACCCACATTAATCAGTAAAAGCTCCCAAAGTGTCAGGATTTCCATTTGTTAATAAACAAAGCAACAATGAAACTTTCTCATTTTGCTCTAGTATTTTTTATTACATATTGTGTAATTTTTATGTCTTGTTTCTGATAAGCTTGTACTGTCCTTTATGTTAAGATGTCCTCCATTAATTTACATGGAAGTAAACAGTAACAACAGAGTCAAAGGCTGAAAACAGTTGTTTCTTGAAGAACCAGCTACTGCCATGTGTTAAAAGAAACTATTCAAATATATGCAGATACTTGGCCAAAGATGGAAAAAAAAAATAAGTTTACTTACCTGGCCATATTCTCTAGTATCCCTTCAACAAAGGTTTATGTTATGAAATTAAATAATTTGATAAAAAGTTCTTAGAAAAAGACTTCATGATGTAAGTAGAATACATTCTTAGCTAATGTTTTTTGGCATTAATATTATAATAATTTATTGAGATCTTGTTCATATGTGATGCTATATTTTATGTGTTACAGTTCATATTAAACAGTCTTTGCCCTCGAGGGGGTCAGAGAAAGTTACCCATCATTAAATCTAACTATTACTTTTGTTTGAGAAACCTCACTAATACATATGTTTGGGAGCTCTGAGCTCAGTAATTCCCCAAGGGGCAATTCAGTATAACACAGTAAATTGTAATTCCATCAGTTATGGGTCATCTACCACAATCTAAAAATTTTCTTTTGTAGGTTAAATGTTAATCTTTAACAAAATTACATCTTTCTGAGCCACATTTTCCTCTTACAAAGTAATTTCTAAGTGTTTAGCTTTATTTTGGAAAAGAGCTGTAATACTCTTTGACCACAATGGGACAATTTTGTAGCCTATCATATTGCTTCGGTAACTGACTGGCAGAATTTATATGTGAAATACTTCTCTAGACCCTGCACTTTCAGAATAGCCTCAAAATGCAATATTTTTGATAGGAGTAAAAAAAATAATTATGTAGCCCAAAGCCATTACAACATTTTATTTCACTTACATGCTTTTGAGTTTTCAGATTCATATGATGAGTATATTCAGTTTATTTTAATCTTTATTCCAAAGATACTTCTGTGTTGCACTGTCATCTCTTTCACCATTGGTAAATGAACATATTTGAAGTACAGACACTTTACATTTTTTGCACATATATATTTAAGGCAGAAGTATTTTTATTTTATTTTAAAGATACAGTATATAATCATAATTAGCTTGAATGCAGAATTTTGAGATATGGCAGTTTATCTTCTGTCTTTTATACCATTGGTTTTTATTGGGCAAATATTTTCATAATAAAATACATGTGCATGAATGATACCAGTCATGTCCTAGAGGATCACAAATCTGTAGTTGACTTTAAAGCTGAAAGGAATATTTATCCTGCACTTCCTTTTTATTTTACACACCTGCTAAGATTCCTCTGGTTAAAATGAAGTACACTTACCAGTGAAGGAGAAGCCAGTGCAGGTGGATTTGTGGGAGCCTTTCACTATACTCTTGGTACTTCTCTATCTGAGGCAACATTTTAGCAGTTTTGGCCCTAATGATATTAATTGCCAGTACCAATGTTCAGAACTAGTAAAAAATATAGTTAACTTCAGTCTTAAAAAAAAAAATCCTACTACGTGATTATCATTTATTCATCATCATTGGAAAATTGGTGAGGTATGATTTGTTTATTCTTTGAGAAAATTAATTTACTCTGAAAACTATGTGACTGCCTAGGATGCAGTAGCACGATGCTGGACAGCATACGCAAAGACAAGGAAATATAATACAGAGTTGCAGTTGCAGAAAAATGTGTTAACTGGTAGTTTTACTTCAGCAGGCCCAAAACCCAAAAAGGCAAAAGACGCAGGCAAAGGCACACCACTCACTAATACTGAAGATGTGTTGAAAAAAATGGAGGTAAGGTTTTCTTCTTACTATACAAGTGAACTGAAAAAATGTAAAAGATCCTACCTCGTTTTGCTCTGTTTCAACCTTTCAGCATTCTCTTACTTTTTAATAATGTAAATTTGGCAGAAGCGAGCCCAACATATAAGGTAACTGGGAAGGTTTGAACTTTGCAGGCTGGGAGATATGGAGGGTCTGTCCTGTCCTTCGTTACCACTCACCTGGCCACTTACCTCACCTTCTGTCACCTCTTTCTTTTTCACTGTATCCCCCTTTCCGCTTATATTTGAATCATGCAGGCAGAGAGAAACATGAACAAGTTTTAAAAAGAGTTACATATGTAACTCTTTTAAAAACCTCTCATTTTTCCTCCTGTTGGTTAATATGTACAGTTTTAATGCTTTTTTTTTGGTCTTAAGTATTGAAGACTCTTGAGGGAAAAATGTATTTTATAGAACTTATTTTTATAGCTTTCTTTATCTAAATATTTCAAAAATAAAAAAATGTAGATTCAGAAGGTTAAAGCACTGAAAATTTTAAAAATTTAATTTTTCAAAAATAAAAAATGTAAGATTCAGAAGTTTAAAACACTGAAAATTTTCCCTCCTATTCCTGTCCCTAGTCATCCAGTTCCCTTCCTATAGACAACCAATGTTACTAGTTTCTTATGTCTTTTTTCAGAAGTATTTCATACATAGCAAATACGAGGTTTCTTTTTCTTTTTAAAGACAGAGATAGCATATTACATTCTGCGTTTTCATTTTATCACTTAACTGAATACCTTGGATGTGGTTCCATATAAGTCTGTGTAGAGTTACCTCATCCTTCTTTTTTTTTTTTTGGCTGCACTATAAAAATGAACTGTAATTTATTTAATTAATATCCTACATAATTGGATATATGGACATTATGTTTCATCTAGTGTTTTGCTGTTATTAACAATGCTGCAATGAATTCATGTTAAGTATGTCATTTCACCTGTGTAGGGTAGATTTCTAGAAGTATTTGGTCAGTACATAAATGTGCACTGTATGAAATGGATAGCTATTGTTACATTGCTCTTTATGGAGGTTATACCAATTTACTACCGTTATCAATGCATGCATTGTCTTGCCTTGGTGATGATGATGATGACAGTAACAGCTAACACTTTATTGAAACTTATTCTGTGCCAGCCTCCTTGATGAGCTCTTTACATATGTTATGTCCATAAGAGTTCATAACAACAAGGAGAGGTGGATATTATTCCTTCTTTACAGATGAGGAAGTCAAGGCTTTAAAATTTTTACTTGCCTGGCCAAGTTGGCACAGCTATTTGGTAGTGGAAACTCATATTTTTATTTTATTATTTGACCAGTACTGGAGTTAGAGACAACATGTCTGAAAAATAAAGCCAGAGTACTGATGAAGGAGCAGTGATAACTGTCAGGTTTAACTATGGCGGAATGATGGGAATGCAGTTCTAGCCAGTTTGTATTGACTGAACTCAGGTTCTGGCTATTCTAAAAGCTTCCTGGAGAAAACTTGCTAAGATGACATGTGCCGTAAGGAAGATTGATCTGGACCTCTGGGTTTCTCCGTGTAACAAACTGTGTTTCCATATTGTCTACATTTAAACACAATTTTCAGGACACACACTGGAAAAACTGGAAATTTAAATCTAGAAATACCAATGAGTTTAGAAGAGCAAAAGTTGTTCCCAGATGACTTTCTTATTGCTGATTTTTTCAGCAAAAGCAGTTCCAAGTTTTTTTTATAATAGAGCATTCGTGGATGGAGAGGGAGTGACATACATTCAAATCTCATGATTAATGTGTGAGTAATTAGTGGTAAACTAATATCTGAGGTTTCTTATTTCTGCATAACAGGAGGCTCTGTATGGTGGCTGTAAGGCTGTATAATATTTAAACCAGAAGAACTGCTCTCTGTCCATAATTGAACACTGTTTTCAGTATCTTTATATTATTCATTTTATTCTTAAATCTGTAAAGTAGTAAAGTTAGATGGTTAAATCTCAACAGGAGAGAAAATGGAGACTAGTAAGTAGAAGAGCTGAAACTAGTAGCTTAATGCAAAAGGAATGAAGCAATGAGACAATATATGTGGCTTTGAGATCAATTTTTATTAAAAAGTTGCATAAATCTACTTTTAACCTATTTTATGAGTCTGATTTAGATCTGTGTGGTGGAAATAAAGATGAGGATTTTTTTTTTTAAAGGTATTTGAGGTAGCAATAATAGAAATAGAGACTTCCTGGTTCCTATGTGGCACTGAATGAATACTGTATTTAAAAAGTACTTTTGGCCAGGCGCCGTGGCTCACGCCTGTAATCTCAGCACTTTGGGAGGCCGAGGCGGGTGGATCATGAGGTCAGGAGATCGAGACCATCCTGGCTAACACAGTGAAACCCCATCTCTACTAAAAATTCAAAAAAAATTAGCTGGGCGTGGTAGCAGGCGCCTGTAGTCCCAGTTACTCGGGAGGCTGAGGCAGGAGAATGATGTGAACCTGGGAGGTGGAGCTTGCAGTGAGCCGAGATCGTACCACTGCCCTCCAGCCTGGGTGACAGAGCAAGACTCCCATCTCAAAAAAAAAAAAAGTACTTTTACATAACTGGTTTAAATAACTGTGTTCTTAATTATAAAAATAAAATAATAGCATGTTTTTTAGATATAGTGTGTACCCTGCACAGAGCTAAATAAATATGGCACTACAATTTCCTATTAACTATACAACTTATTGGTTGCAGGTCTTTTTACTGTGATCTGATTAAAATAGTAAAAAAATATAATATTAACATACCATCAAATATGTGTGTGTATATCTTATTATAGATGCTGCAAAAGATCCATAAGCACGATTTTCTTTACTTGCACTTTTCCAAAGGGATTGCCAGTTGGAAAAATTGCACACATCATATTGTAGTAATAACTCATATAAGACAACATATGAGTCAGTATCAAGATAAATCATCTTATGTCTGTTACCTTGGTCTTATTTGTTCTGCCTGAGTGGGTTAAGCAGACAGGAAAGGTGGAGTTTGAATTTTGATTAGAAATTGAGCCTATCTAATGTAGTCTCTCTGTTGTCTTTGATTTCCTTAAATTCAAATTTGAATTTAATTACAAGGATTTTTAAAGATAAGCGTTTAAGAACCAGTAAAGGAATAGCTAAGTTGTAGTTACTCCAGATATAAAATCTGCTTTCTCTCTATATGTAATCTACAAAGCAAATACCTTATAATAGAGATGGAGTGTTTGCAGATTCATGCATTAGTATTCCAATTTCTGTTTAGGAATAATCACATTTTAGCTGAGGTGACTTATGCCTTAATTATGCGTATTAATATGTGAAATTATTGACTCCTGGAAAACTTGTGAAATTCTATCATATGTGCAAATTGAGCATAGTACAATTTAGTGAACAGATAGTGACAGTAATGAAAATAAGTCACTTTTTATTAAATGAAAAAAATTGTTGGTAGTCATAATAGAAATACAAAGATGTAATTTTAAAGTTAATTTTGTGTACTATTCCCTGATGGTTCCACTTGTGGATAAGTGGGACTCTCATGGAATCAAAGCTTTCCTAACTCTGCATCTCTCTTTTGTCTTCTCTTTTAGAATTCCTAATAATTGCTAGTATTGACTGTGATTTGAGTTTTAATTTCTCTCTTTCTTCTCAATCTGCCAGATATATTAAGAAACAAGAATTCCTGGCAACAGGAAGTAAATAATGAGAGAGAAAAAAGATAAAGACACAGATAAAATGCAACTAGGATAATCTAACCCAGGATGACTTGCTATTATAATAATAGTATTAAATGGCCTCATGTATAAAGTGAAACATAGACATTTTGAGATAATACTATTACCTTATTTTTCCCCTTTTATGTTAGAAGGAAAACAAAATAACATTCTAAAAGTTCTCCATAAACTAAGTCACCTCAAATATTTTAGAAGGAGGTAAGATAGACCACCAGGTACTGTGGCTCATGCCTGTAATCCCAGCACTTTGGGAGGCTAAGGTGGGCAGATCTCTTGAGACCAGCAGTTTGAGACCAGCATAGCCAACATGGAGAAACCCTGTCTCTACTAAAAAAATTAGCCAGGCTTGGTGGTATGCACCTGTAGTCCCAGCTACGCAGGAAGCTCAAGCAGGAGAATCACTTGAACCCAGGAGAAGGAGGTTGCTGTGAGCCGAGATCGTGGCACTGCACTCCAGCCTGGGTGACAGAGCGAGACTTTCTCTCAAAAAAGAAGGTAGGAGATAAATTATAAAAAATAAAGCATTGTGCATTAGAGCTGATAAGCCCAATATTAATCTGAAACCCAATTATTAAGTAACAAAATCAAAGAAAATGCTGGTTTAGTGGTGAGACAGTAAATTCCTTCTTTCTTGAGTTGACTCATAGTTTCCTAGGTGGTAGCCAGGAGGTGGTGGTAAGATGGGAGTAGAATAAGGTGATAGATAACTGTTCCCTTAAGGCTAAGCAGGGAAGTCAGCAGTCTAGTGGTTTCCATACAAATTAATGAAACTCACTTATACCAGGAATTGGAAAAAAGAGGTGATGGTGAAAAATCAGATGAGGAAAATGAAGAGAAAGAAGGAAGCAAAGAGAAAAGTAAAGAAGGTGATGATGACGATGACGATGATGCCGCAGAACAGGAGGAATATGATGAAGAAGAGCAAGAAGAGGTAATGGTTCATTTGGGGATGGTAGCAAAATTAATAAGGTTTATCTAATAAGGAATCAGATATAGAGTATGTATTGAAATCAATAAACAGAAACCAAGATGATGGGAACCAGAAGTATATTATTATCAATGGCATCGATTCCTTGCTATCAAGAGAACTTCCTTGCTATCGAGAGAACTATTATAGCATTGAAATTATAATGATGTCAAATTGAATATAGGAAATAAAAATGATTGGCAACTTTGTAAGTATAAATCTGCAAGTTAAGGAGATTGATCAGATTAGTGCAGTTAAGATTTAACAACATAAAAATTTAAGTCAGCAATTCAGGTAACGGAGGGCTTAACCACCTAGGTCTAGAGGAGAATCCCTGCAGTGTGTTTCAAATTCCAAAGTGCATGTGGATACTATCAGAGAAGATTGATAATTTAACCTCAGGTATCTGGCTGAGTCAGGACTCTGTGTTTTCCATTTGGGATGTCTAACTTTTAGAATGAAATGCACATAGTACATTTCAGAATTAGCTGGAGTCAATCAGGTATTTTTAGTAGGGTAACTTTGCAGACCACAGCCTCTTCGGGACTTTGTAGACACCTCAGACCGTAACCCTAGGTGGAGAGTTTCTTCTCCATTCTGGTGACCTTTGTCTTCATTCCATTTCAGCCTCTTATACCACATTCTCAAATTTTGCTTCTCTGGAAACTTCCAACTATGAAATCTTTACTATAATTATTTTGCATTAAATTTGGTATTCTTTTGAAATTTGTATTAGTATAAACAGAGAAGTGTGGATACATTTTTTATCTGTTTCCAAGTGGCTAGCCAGCTGCTAACCTCATTTCTTAATTTGCTTTCCTCGTTGATTTTGAAATTCTTCTGGTATCAGCTATTAGATTCTCATTTCTACTTCTGTTCTCTGTTCCATTGATCTATTTTGAACCAACACTAAGCTGTTGCAAGTAGTAGAAGCTTCTGATTATTTGTTAATGTTGGTAGGGTATGTCTTCCTTCCTATTCTTTTTTCACAATTTTCCTGAATATTCTGTCTATTCTTTCAGATACATTTTAAGTCTAAACATTTAAAAATTAAATATGTCACATTTGTGGTAGATCACATTTGTCTCCAGCCTTCTTTTCAGATCATTCATGTTTTTATTTCCATTGCTCTCTGACATGATTGAAACTGTCAGTACTTCTGATCATCTCTTTCCCCTTTATTGGTTCTCTGTTTTAATTTTCTTTTCTAAGAAACTTAGACCCTTGCTCGCCCTTCATCTTCTTTTTTGCCATTATTGTCTCTTGTCCTCCCAGCGCACACACTAGACCAAAGCCAACTTTGATCATTTCCATTCTCTACCTATTTTCCCTTTCAAATCTGACCTATTGAGCATTTCTTGGGAATCACAGAAATTGATGCCCCTCAAAAAACACTAGCCCCATTTTGCTGGATAACATGTTTTCTGTTTTTAAGTCAGCTCTCTACAGCAATTATTTTTGATCAACTTCTTTCTTCTTATTTCCCTTTGTTTACTACCTTTTCTTTCACTCTTAGCAGGTGATAATACCTTCATACGGGAAATGAAGTCATCAAGAGGAAACTCTATTAAATTTCATGTCCTCTGCCTTCAAACTCAGTGTCTTCCTTCCTCCTCCTCTTTTTTTTTTTAATCAAGGGAGGAAATCCCCTTTATCCTATTTGGGGCTAACGGCCCTATCCTTTTTTGGAACCATAGTCCTCCAGTCATTTCCCTTTCCATATTTTTAACCTCTTTTTCTGCTTGTCTCTTCCATTCATGAATGTTCATTTCCCATTGTAAAACATGTTCATTTCCCATTGTAAAATATGTTGTCCACATTCTCCCTCATGCCATCTCTTGAAAAGCTTCTTTAGCTGTCATCACCCCTCCCCCTCCCCCACCATTAGCTCTTTTCAATCTTAGTTTCACCTCCATCCTATTCAAATAATTGCTTTTGACAAATAGAAGTAGCTTAAAGAAAGAAATTATTGCTACCACGCTCACCATAGACAAATTTTAGCCTTTATGTCACTTAACTTTTTTGCAGCATTTAACACTTCTGACAGCTCTATTATTAAAATATTATTTCCTGGCCAAGCGCAGTGGCTCACTCTGTAATCCCAGCACTTTGGGAGGCCAAGGCGGGTGGATCACGAGGTCAGGAGTTCAAGACAAGCCTTGCCAACATGGTGAAACCCTGTCTCTACTAGAAATAAAAAATTAGCCAGGCGTGGTGGCGGGTGCCTGTAATCCCAACTACTTGGGAGGCTGAGGCAGGAGAATCACTTGAACCCAGAAAGCAGAGGTCGCAGTGAGCTGAGATCGTGCCACTGCACTCCAGCCTGGGCAACATATATATATTTATGATTTCCTTTATTTAAATTCAACAATTTACAGCAATTATATGCATCTTCTATATGCCAGGCATTGTGCTAATTGCCAAGTCTTAGACAAACATGGTTGCTTCCCTTAATTTTTGTTACATAATGCTTTTCGTTTTTCTCCTATTTCTGGTACATTTTTATGGTCTCTGGAGTTCTTTCTAGTCTTTAAATGTCAGTATTCTTCAGGGCTCTTCCCTCGGGCTTCTTTTTCTTGCTGTAATCTCTCTGATTGCATCCCTCCCCATAGTTACCCTGTATAAACATGTAACTCCTCAGTTCTTTTTCATTCAACCTATAGTAAGTGTACACTAAGTATATGCTTGGAATTGTACTAGGCAATGGGAATATGAAGATAAGATACAGTTCTTCTCTCAGGGAAATTACTAGAGAGACAAAAAAGGTAACAGTTAATATACAGTGAATAATGCTGTGATACAGTAGTACCGGATGCTATAGCGGCATATAAGAGATGCTGTGGGCACACCAAAGTCTATTTTAGGCATATCAAAGATGATATTTCAAAGAAGACAATTTAGGTGATCTGAAGAGCTAATCAGATCAAGATAGGAACATGGAATGGAGTGGACACTTGCAGGGAGAAAAAAGAACATGGAGAGAGGCTTGCAGGTGATGGGAGTGTAGCTTCTTAATTTAACTGACCAGATAAATCGGTATGGCGGGACTAGAGGGTGTTAAGTGGGCTTGTGTTGAGAGATGAAGCTGGAGAGATGAGCAGGTCATTAAGGACTTTGAATGTCAAGCTGAGAAATTTGACTTTATCCTGAGTACTGTGGGGAGCATTGAGGGGTTTTAAACAGTGGAATGGTATAATCATGTTTATATTTTAGAAAGCTCAGTTGCTTTGAATGGAAGAGCCAAGTTTGGGTCATATTTGAAAGCTTATTGCTGTAAACCAGTGGTTTTCAATACTCTTGAAAGGATATTTGGTAGTGTCTGGAGATATATTTGGTTGTCACACTGCCATGGGGGTAGTAGGGTGGTGGTGCTATAGGTTCTAGTTTGTGTGGTCAATACTCTAGACAAGACTGGCATTTGCAATGCTCTGTTGACAATGTCTGCTTGCACTGAGTTCAGGATCAAGACCATCCTGGCTAACACGGTGAAACCCCGTCTCTACTAAAAATACAAAAAATTAGCCGGGCGTGGTGGCAGGCGCCTGTAGTCCCGGCTACTCGGGAGGCTGAGGCAGGAGAATGGCGTGAACCAGGGAGGCAGAGCTTTCAGTGAGCCGAGATCGCGCCACTGCACTCCAGCCTGGGTGACAAGAGTGAGACTGCGTCTCAAAGAAAAAAAAAAAAGATTACTAACGTCACACAATTACCAAATTTGAATCACTTAAACAGAACTTGGAGGAGGTACTCATGTCTAAAACACAAGTGACATATGCTTGATTTGGAATACTAGAGTATCCCTTCCTTATTCATCTCCACTTTATGTACAAATCGGCTTACTTTTATTTCTACACAAGTGTTCTTGCCAAAGGTCTCCTTTACAATGAGACCTCATTTGAACTCTCAACCATGCCACCCTCCCCTGGTACACAGGCCCCAAGCTTCACCCAGGTGTCTAAATATTGCCAAATTTTTTTGGCACCAGAAAAGCCAGGCCAACTTTCCAGAGATGGGAATGGTCTTAGCTGAATGCAGAAACTTAAAGTATCTAGGGAAGAAAAAGTAATGAGATAACTATCTAAAGAATGCATATACAGTGAATAATGCATGTTACCTTTCTTGCATTATGTAAATATATTAAAAATCCCACTATCCAGATTTAAAAAAAAAAAAAAACTTTGGAAAAAAATTAGTAAAATTGATAGGAGACTTTCTTTTGAGAGTAGTCTGTATTTCTTACTATAGATAGTAGAGATGTGGACATTAATTTCTTATTATAGCAGATCTCAATCATGTGCAAAAATGTAGTGACTAGTAAAAGAAACACCCATGGTCTTATCACTCAGCTTTAACAATGGTCAATTCATAGCTAATCTTTCAACCACTCATTCATCTACCCAATCCCTCCCTGTCCACCCATCCCATTCCCCGTGCCCCATGTGCCTTGGATTCCAAAGAAAATCCTAGGCATCGTATCATTTCATCCACAAATATGTCAGTATGGATTCAAAAATAAGGGCTCTTTAACAACATCACTGTATCATTATAACACCCCATACAATGAAATATAATTCCTTAATTTCATCAAATATCTGGCCAGTATTGAATTTTCTTGGTTGTCTCAAAAAGTTTGTTTGTTCCAAACAGAATCCAAATACAATCCATACATTGCAACTGATTAATAACTCTTAGGTTTAATTTATATCCAAAGTGGATTTTTGATTGTAAGATACTGGAGGCCCGGAAAAATAAATAAGAAAGTAATATTTGAATTTTTGATAGAAAGCACAGATATTTTCTGAGTTATTTGCATGGATGATAGTCTTATTCAGCCACAAGAAAAAGAAACTAAGAGGTCCTAGATAGAATATAATATAGGCATCTTTTGGATTTGGTTTGGTATCATGCCTTTTTTTTTTTTTTTAATAGGAAGTAAAAGTCTTTCTGGCTTATGCTTAGTTATGTTTTATGACTAAAAATCTCAGTACTGGTGTAGTCTAATGGATGTTAATGTAAACTGGCTTTTTTTCTTGTCTGTGCATTTTTTGGGTAAGTGTTTAGTGGTTTAGCTAACTAAACTATGTATCATCCCAGTAAGCTGTAATGTGTTAGTAGCTATATTATCCTATTGAGATGGTATGGGCAACCCTTCATGTTCTCTTAGCTAGTTAGTGCCTGACAAGAGTGGAAGGTGGTGGTCTTAAGGAAGAAAGCGGCACAGGTAAACACAAGTGAAAACTGTTGTGTTTTTGAAGCAGATAAAAAGCAGAGACTTTTAGGCCTGGAATATTTTCTTACTACTCATTCATTTTAACGTTTACAAAGGAATATATCATTTCACTTAGGAAAATGACTACATTAATTCATACTTTGAAGATGGAGATGATTTTGGCGCAGACAGTGATGACAACATGGATGAGGCAACCTATTAGGCATGAAATTTTTCAAAAAATATTTTTATGATGCAGCTTCTGAACATTTGGACAGACTTGATTTGTATTTTATTTCTGATAAGGAATAAGTACTTGTTTCTGTTGTTTTGGACAAATAGTTGTTACCAAAATATTCAAAACCACTTTGAGTTTACATACTAGTTACCTTAAAAATTATTCCCTGACACTCTGACATTCCTTCTAAACACCTCTGCCATCTCTCTTATGTACTCTCATGGGTTTTTTTGTATGATTTGAATATGAATGTGCCTAAAGAATTTTTGCTCTCTTAATCTATGTATACATACTTGAACAAATCATTCTTGCTTAACTGCTGATCTTTTGTAAAACTATTGCTAGTCATAATGGATTTCTATAACCTGAAAGTTGATATAATACAGCACGTGGAGCACTTTAAAAACAAAGAAACTTGAAAATAATTTTATTTTTTACCTTTACATGGTGTGTTCTAGACTACTGCATTATGACTACATAAACCTACCTGAGCTCTTACAAGTACAGAATTGTGAGACAGAGGTTTTGTGATGGAAAACATACACATAGGGAAAAATACCAAACTGAGCAATATAAATTTCACAGCTCACATCTTAGCCAGTACAAAGAAACTTTCACATGGGGTGAATATTATAATACTTGAATTTGAGACTTAATACTGTATATGAATTAATCATCCCACTGTAATAACTGACATCTTCAAATAGTTGGGCTTATGAAAAATTTGACTAAGACATTTTATTTTATACTTTATGTAAATGTGAAATAAGTTCTGGTCATATAAATATGTAGAATGCATGTGTGTGAACTCTATGAAGTGAAGTGTGGTGGCCTTTTATGTTTCAGAGTACTCAAGTGTACAATTGATTTATATAAAAATGCAAAATGAACTCAGGTCATTTTGAAATTAATATTAATATTTTTGTTGTTTAACTTTAAAGCTAGCTCCCCTAACTTTATATATTTTTTGGGAAAAAATACCTAAAAACCTCAGCCTACAAAGACTCTCAGAAATGCCAAAGATTTTCAAGGAAATTCATATTATATATTTCAAAAATGATTTATCAATGTTATCTACCAAAAGAAATAATTTTATTTTTCCCCTTTGGGGAGATATTATCCTCTAATATGAGAATCAGATCCCTAGATTCTATTTCTACCTATACTATTAAACTCAACCTTGAACCTGAGCTTGGTTGTTTCTGTGCCTTAGTTTCTCCACTCGTAAACAATTTCCTATAAAAATTGTTTAAACACCAACCAAAATTTACCATATGTATTCATTCTCTTGCCTTAAAGATCACTTCTTAACTTACATTTGGCTCTCACCCTCTAAAAATTTGTAGTTTGGAGAGTAACTGAAAGCACAATTTTAAGAAACATGTTTTCCTCACAAAATATATTGTAATCTGATTTTCCTATCTTGTATTCATGCAGAAAATTGGAGAAAATGTGTATTGTCTTGTGCCATTCTGCAATATGAATTTCTCAGGAAAAAGATGTTTCAATGGCAATACTTTCTTAAATAATTCAAGATGGGTGTGAGGACCTATCTTATTAGTTTAGTGCTGTGTTAACCATTTGTGAATTACTTCTTGTTTAAAGGAAGTTGTCAAAAAATTTTAAGATTCTAAATGGAATACACGAATAAAGTAAGCCTTAGAATAGAAACCTCACAAAAAGTTGTCATTTGCGGTTGATAATTAACATAGGTGTTTTATTCTCTCAACTCCTTAGTACCAGAGCCAAATACAATTTAGTTTTCAGAAATCTTATCAATATTGTTCTATTTACCTACTTATAAATCTGCAGATAACCACTTGAACCAGGCAAATACACTGAAGATAAAGGTTATTTCTTTTTTTAGCTTTGAATTTGTCATGACCATTTTAGTCTTGCAGATAGCAGGGCAGCCCCTTGGGGCAAGGATTTACTCTGGGAGGTACCGTTAAGAGCCTTCTTTCCCCCTTTGAAAGATCCTTTTACAATGTTAAAGTATACTAGTTGCAAGAACAAGCAGGATTTGCAGGTTGCTTTACCAGCATGAGTCTCATTTTTCTGGCTTAAAATCTGGGACTGTGAAATTATTCCATAGGAAAGTGAATGTTATTTTGCAGAATTAGCCTCTTACATAAAAGTATTTGTTGAAGTGTCTTTAAAATTGCTATCATGAGCAAAACTGGTTGCTGTAATGCTTGTTTTTCTGTATTTATTTACACATTAAATTCTTACAAAACAAAATGTGTTCGTTTGTTTTATAGTAAGATGTTTTATTTTGAACTTATTTAAATGTTTATTTGTTAGAGAAAACTAATTTGTTAATATAGATCTTAACTAGTAACTATTAAGCAGGGATGTTTGTTCCAAATATTCTTGAATAAACAATCACCACAAACAACAAAACTCTGGTTAATGATTATTCAAAAAAGTTGTTGTGAGATGGGCATGCTGGTCTGTGCCTATAGTCCCAGCTACTCGGGAGGCTGAGGTTGGAGAATTATTTGAGCTCAGGAGGTCAAGGCTTCAATGGGCCAAGAGGAGGCTGAGGTGGGAGGACTGCTTGAGCCCAGGAGGTCGAGGCTTCAGTGAGCCAAGATGGCAACACACACACACACACACACACGAGTTATGATAACTTAAGAGATTTGGCAGACAATATAATTTAGTGTGATCATTCATGCTTGGGCTGACTTATAGTGGATACCAGAGAATGTTAAGACATTCAGAAGATTCTTTTTAAACTTTTCACTTCACTACCTTCAAATGTACAGTGTCGATGGCTTTGCCTTTACATGGTTAAAATCTCAAGCCCGTGTGGTGGCATGTGCCTGTAGTCCCGGCTACTTGGGAGGCTCACATGGGAGGATCAGTTGGCCCCAGGAGTTCGAGGCTGCAGTGAACCATCATGCTATTGCACTCCAGCCTGGGCAACAGAGCAAGAGCCTGTCTCCAAAAAAAAATTTAAAAAAACCTCTGTAGTAAAAATTACTATTTATTAAAAAAAATTAACACAATATTAAGATCAAGATGCATTTGAAAATGGAAGAAAAAAATCAGGGTTTATACACATTCCTCCATTAAATAAATAAAAGCTCCAAAGAACTTTCTCAATTTTTCTGCTAATAATCTTTTAAACAGTATTCTTGAGGTTGTTTTATAATAAATTAAAATCACATATAAAGAGAGCAGGTTATAATCTATAGATAATGACTCATCTACAACTTCATAGCAATTCCTGGACCATGCCTTACCAGATCTTACCCTGAGGAAAATCTCCCAAAGAACATTCATCTAAAATATTTCATCTATGTCTTACAAATAATCCAAGGTATTCTGCTTCACTGTAGCAAATAAGAAATCTGAATTGGTAAACCTTTGGCAATCTGCTCTATCTTACATAATATCTCTATATTAGATAGTTTGAAAGTGGAGAAAAGCTTTGCTTTATTCAATTAAATTCACTGGCTTCCATTTTAGATTGAATAAGAGAAACTTTATTACATGTTGGAGATCTTTCAAAATATGAAAAATAAGGGGCAAAAAATTTTAAAAACTGGTTTTACAGATACACATGCTAACAATGTTCTACAGTTACATTTGTATAAAATACATTATACAAAAGATTTATAGATTTTGCATACATAAAAATTAAAGCATTCAGATATTTCTATGATCTAACAGTGCAATATGCACATACGTGGAAGAAAATACTGATTACCTGAGCAACATTTTTGTAATGCAAATTAAAAATGAATCCATCAGTGCACCATTTAAATACAGACTTTAAAAAACTCCACCTTTACCCTGTAACACTGACTAGATCCTTGCTTCATGATATTTCTAAAACTAAGCATATCCTTCATATTTTCAACTAGGTAATTTTAGAAGTAGATACTTTAAAAAAGAACTAATTACTAAGTAGTGGTTCATTTAAATAACTCTTCAGGACACTGAACCAAGCAGGTAGAGTCCAGGAAAAGAAAAGCTGTAAATAAAAAGTCCTTTGGAGGAGATAATTTAACATGAGTCTTCTAATTTTTAATGTGGCCAGCAGAGTGTGTAACCATTTTTAACATATCTTTTGAAAATATGAACTCCATAACTTCCTAGGAGTGAGATAGCAAAGAAATTTTATTTTAACCGAGACTTCATAAAACTATCAGCTTTTTGTTTACTTGCTAACTCCAAAATTTTAAGTAAACCAAATGCAATGATTCTGCTGTTACTTTTACATTGCATACAAGTACATGCGTGCACACATGCAGACACACACACAGACACACATGTAAAGCAACAAATTCAAAGAAGGGTGTCAACACAATTAAAATCCATAATGTTAAACAATAACTGTGCTTGTTAGTTATACAAGGTAATTTGCATTTGATATAAACTTAACTTACATTAGTACTTTTTAGAAACTAAAATTATTCCAAATGTATTAAATGCTTAGAAAATTCATTTCTTTCCTAAACAGATTAGAACCATAATTCAATATGTAACCTTTATATAGAATTATATGTAACTCAAATTATATTCAATTAATTCAAATATATAATTTAAATACAGAAAAAAGAAAACTACCTGATGTGTTATAAGGATGTATATTTCCTTCAAAAAAGGATACTCTGCAAGACAAATGATTTTTAATCAACAAATACACAGCACACCTTATTCCTTTAAAAAATAAGTTACATATTTTGGAAATCGAACCCATAACAATTTCAAAGTACAACTAGCAAAAAAAGTAAGGAATCACTGACTGTAATTTCATCAATTTGATGTAAACAAAGTTCTTCAAAGGACACCTGGCCTGTTTACCCTAAAATAATCTGCATTTTCTTCCTTAAAACCTCATTTTTCAGCAGACTTAATAAATACAATGTAAAATGACCAGTTAACACTAAGCATAAATTATATCACACTCTTCTTTTCAAGATGCCCAAGGCACATTAAAACTACTTTTTAAATGTTTAATTTACTAAGAGAATCATTTGCAACTTCCCTATTAAACACTTTTTGGTAATTGTCTAAGGTCCTCTAATATTTGCAAGGGCTTTAATGTTTGACTTCTTTGTCCTGTCTTTTCCTGATGGTCTTCTCCTGAAAGTACATAAAACTGCATTTGCCATAAATATTTACTTATTCTGAGTTAAATTTGAAATATATAAAATGACTTATCAAAAGCCTGAAACATCAACAATTAGGAAATAATGCCCAGAAAATGAGGTGGTATTATATATCTTAAGTATATATTATATACAAAACAGGCAATCCAGACTCCACCAAATCTCATTTCTATTGAAGAATCATTCTGGTTACATTTTTAAAACACATACTTTTAAAGATTAAATGATGGAATCAGTATGCAAATGCTTCTTACTTAGCCAGACTGTAGCCGACTCAACAGATCTTAAAAAGAGGCACTACCACCCCCTTTCAAGCAATCTATACACCTTTGGCCTTTGTTTCCCAATTTGATGCTATATATAGAGATCAGGAAAAAAGTCTAAATTGGATATTTTCTCTTTGAAAAACAGAGGTTAAGGGATTACTAAATAATTTGTCTGTTACTGCTAATATAAAATACCTCTACTCTTTTTTGCTTAATGAACCATTTTCTTCAACAGACCTCAAAGGCAGTTTTGACCCAATTATTTGTGCTTGATGGTGAAAATGGAGACAAATTTATATAGCCTATGTAACGAATCTGATTGGACCATATGAAATAATGCTTATTTTTAATTCTGAAACTTGGATTTACTTACATAAAGCAGTAAGGCATTAAATGTAATTAAGGCATGTTACTGTATGTAACAGCAATGATTTATCACAGTATATAAGGAATTATTTCCTAAATAATGGTAATATGCACGTTTAATATATTTTTCATCATCAAAACTACAAAAGTGCTTTCAAATATCAGAGGCAAATATAATCATTTTAAAAACAGATGCACAGAGGTGAGGTTAAAGGGTCTGTCCTAAAGAAAGCATTCTTAAGACAAAAATTACTGTCAGGTCTTCACCTATTCCAGTGTTCTACTGACTTCCCAACCATAATACATTATTTTGGGGTCTTGAAAATATTTTAATCTATTTCTTGGCCTCTGTTGTAGGAATTATAAATCACTTTCCCCTTTCTCTTTGTACGTATGCTTTCATAGCACATGTGCTAAATGTATTTTTTAAAAGTTTTGAAGGGGTGTGTTACGTATCCTACCATGAATAATTTTAGAATCAAATTTTCTTGCAACTGAATATTTTGGGGGTTCATAGTAGTAAATTTTTTTCAGCTGCAGACATCTGATGCTATCATTCTGCATCATAAATTTAACATTAATAAACTTTTTAAAAATTACTTAAAAAAATAAAATTTAAACATGCATTTTAAGAAAAATGATACATCTTCCAAGTTAAGTACTTCCTAAACACACATTTAAATTAATTTCTGCTTGAAACATTCACACACCAGATTTATGGATCAACTGCTCTCAACATCAACAACTAGTTGCTCAAAAAATTTTCAAAGTGTGAAACCCTTTTGTTAAAAACAAAAGCATCCTCAATCTCTCTAAATTCTGCCTTTGAAGCTATTATTGGATATAACTGATTCACCACATTCCAGATGCACATGTGACCACTAACATTTGATTATGAGCTAATTGCTATGTTTCCTGTTGAGCAGCAGGTGACTGAGAATCTTGACTATACAGTTTATGATCATCTTGTTGGCTGAAATGTATTCCTTTAGTTGGCACAATTCCATTTTCCATTTCTCTCTGCTGTGATGGGGGTGTGATTTTTGAATGTAAATGTGAAGAGTCCACTGTTGAATGATGACTAACATCCACCTTAGCTAAAATTTCATAATACAACAAATAAAACACTGGTGTTATTATACCTACTATCAACATTATCACTACAGCTGTCCACCACCCTATTCCCCAGTCTGCTCCATAATAGGGGTCTTTACGTTGAGTGTTTTTGTTATCAGGTTCAAAACGCATTTGTTGTGCTGTTAAGGCCGATACTACCTCATTGAGGTTCTCTCTCTTATTGTCTGTACACTTTACTATTTGTTCTATGTCTCGGTCTACTTCTTTTAAAAAGCTACCAGCTGAGTCACTGTAAGCAAGAGAATCATTAGCTGGCAAAATTTCCTGTTGTTCGGAAGAGTATTGAACAGATGAATGACGTGAAGTCTGTCTTCCTTTTGGAGGACAAAGTGTTTCGGTCAAGGAACTGAACTTTTTTACTGGAATTTTGATAGACCTAAGGGCAAAAAAGTCTTGATCACTGATGAGATTGTTAACTCTCTTGATATCTGCTACCTGTGGGGGGGAAAAAAAAGCAACATACAACTGAATTCCAATCAAAATAAAGGCAGCAATAGTCATTCATTCTAGTTACTTTTGGAGGAAAAAAAAAGTTGAATTATTAGTAGTATTAAGTTGCACCCAGAGAAATTTTAATTTTATTTGTAGATGAGAATTCTACACCACTTTAGATGTACCAATCTTAGGAAATCACCAACTACTTTTTACTATCACCCATATATGTTAGTAACACTAATTAATGCTATTTAAGTAGATTCTAGAATCCTTTGCTGCTTCCCTTTGTGCATCATGCATAAATACCACAGTCCTTCTGCTTGTAAACAATTTGTGAAGGAAGGATTATGGGTAGTTATGTTCTTTATTCCAGTTTGGAAACTGGAATATAGACAAATGCTACCCAACTAAAACTACCATATTTTATCAAAACTAAGATGCCATAACTCTAAGATGCAGTATTATTTTATGTATATCTAGGGAAAAAAAAAACTTCACCAAAAATTGAAGATGCCACCATTCCAAAAAAAGATGCTAAAATGTGTGGAAAAGCATATATACCTTAGAATTTAAAAAATTGGTAATTTATCCCCCTTATTTCTGAAGCCATTTCCCTCCCAAACTTCTCAGTGTAAATGCATTATTCAACTACTTTCAAGATTAATCACTTTTATAAGCTTTTTCTCTATATATTATACATTCCTCAACCTGTTTGTATTATCCCATCCACTGTGAGATAACCTGTCTGTATATCCTATTCCACTGTGTTGGGGGAAGAGGGGAGTGTCTGGCAGATTACCAATTGGTATGCCAGGCTCTCCCACCATCTATTAGTCCCATTCATTTCCATCAATACTTTAAAACCTAATCATGTATCACCTGATTCATGTCAGAGAGATAAAGTGGGTCTAGTATGAAGCTTAGATTTCTGGTTTGGTCAACTTGATGGACGATGGCATTCATTGAGAAATGGAACACTGTGGAGGGTAAAAAGAGGCTAAATGCAGATTTTAGATATGCTGACTTGGAGCTGCTTGAGATACAGAAGTGGAAGATGTTCAGGACAGAGTTGTAGATATATGTCTGAAACTCAAGAACGATCTCGGCTAGAGACACAGATTTATGGACTATCAGCAAAAATGTAATTGAAGTCAGCCAGACGTGGTGGCTCATGCCTGTAATCCCAGCACTTTGGGAGGCCGAGGCAGGTAGATCACCTGAGGTCAGGAGTTCAAGACCAGTGTGGCCAACAGGTGAAACCCCATCTCTACTAAAAATACAAAAATTAGCCAGGCATGGTGGTGCATGCCTGTAGTCCCAGCTACTCCGGAGGCTGAGGCAGGAGAATTACTGGAAGCCGGGAGGTGGTGGTTACAGTGAGCAGAGATTGTGCCACTGCACTCCAGCCTGGGCAACAGAGCGAGACTCCATCTCAAAAAAAAAAAAAGTAATTGAAGTCAAAGAGGTCAAAGAGTAGAGAGATTCACTAGAAAAAGCCTGAGAGAAAAAAGCAACAAGATCATCCCTGAAGAACTCCAACATTTGATGGGTATGCTGAGTAACAAAAATCCACAAAGGAGATTACGAATGGCCAGGAAGGGAATATACAATAGTGGTTAAAAGCATGGATAACTGGGTTTGAGGCATGGCTTTGACACTTTCTAGCTGTATGACCTGGGGCAAGTTGTTTAACCTCTTTGCCATTAAGGTTCCACACCTGCAATATGGCAGTAATAATACTACCTACATTATAGGGTTGAGGTGAACATTAATGATTTAAATGTTGTAGGACACTCAGAACAGTGATTTATGGTATGTCATATAAAAGTTAGCTATTATTAAATGTTAATAGTAGGAAAACCAGAAACCTGAAAAGTCAAGGTGGTCAAGCAGAGAGGGTCTTTAGCAGGGAGTAGTGAACAGAATCCACTGTAGATTCGTGATCAAGTACAATGAAGACTAAAAGAGGTCAAGCTGGAAAAACTATCTTGCAATGTATGTGTGGGGGGATTGGAAGGAAAGGGTTGAACAATAACTAAAAGATGAAACAGTAAAGATAAAGTGTGTTTTATCATCTTACTACCTTCGCACTGTTTTGTCTTATAGCAAATGAAGATTCACTGAAAAATCCCAGTCTGACCCCATTCTCTTTAAATGCTCTTTTGCTTGGTATTGTGTACTCTTACTAATAACTACTTAATACTCTTTTTGAATTAGGGTTCCAAGGTTTAGTATCTACCTAAGTTATCTCCCTGAATATCCCTATAATGACTTCTATGCTATGCCAACTTCCTTGGTTGCATTCAAGATTCCAACCTTGGACTTTTTATTCTTCTCATCACAGTTGTATAACTGACAGATTTTTAATAATTCTTAAGATTATTTCTAAGTGGAATATACCACTAGCTACTTACTGTATTTTTTAAATGATAGATCCTTTTATAATGATAAATATTTTTATAATTTTTTTTGTTGCTTATGCTTCCATCAAAAAGGAGCACTGCTTATCTTAACTAATTCTGTTCATCCCTTTCCCACTATAGTGGCTGATATGTCCCCACCCAAATCTCATGTCATCTTGTAATCTCCAATGTTAGGGGTGGGGCCTGGGGGAGGTGATTGGATCATGGAGGTAGATTTCCCCCTTGATACTGTCCTGAGTTCTTGTGAGATCTGATTGTTTAAAAGTGTGTGGAACCTCCTCCCTCACTCGCTCTTCTTCCTGCTCCAGCCATGTGAAAATGCCTGCTCTGGCTTTGCCTTCTGCCGTTAAGTAAAAGCTCTCTGAGGCCTCCCCAGAAGTAGATGCTGCCTGCTTATGTACAACCTGCAGAACCATGAGCCAATTAAACCTCTTTTCTTATAAACTACCCAGTCTCAGGTATTTCTTTATAGCAATGTGAACACAGACTAATACAGTGGCCAATGCCATCTCTCCATTTAAGTACTTTTCATCATTCTCATTTCACATAAGCATTCAGCTGATATATCCTGTGATTTCCCCCAATACATTAACACTTCTTCTCTATCCTTATCACAAATATTTTAGTCTAAGTCCTGATCATCTTTATTATTCCAGTAATCTCTTTATTGGATCCCCTTCAATTCATCAGCAGGCCCCTCTGCTATTCTGTATCACTCCTGTTAAAACTCTACAATAATTGTATTCTCTTACTATATGGATCAAACTTTTCCATTCTGTATCACTCCTGTTAAAACCTTACAATATTTGTTCTCTTACTGTATGGATCAAACTTTTCCATAGTGTCTCAAAGCATTTCATCCCAAATAGTCTGTGCCACTCACTTCGGAAATAACTATGAAAATTCCCTTTGTTGTTTACCATATTTCCTCCTTGAAATCTTCTTCACATCACTGTTGAATGCCTGAAACATCTTTACACCTCATTGGAAATATGACCTATTTTTAATTATTCAGATGGTATGTTAAATTTCCCTAAGAAAATTTTCTAGGTTCATTAAAAGAAAGCTAATGTCTTATAAAACTACTGAATCACAAACTCTCCTCTCGGATCTGTACCTTGATGTTTTTTAGCCTTGTGTCTCATTTTGAAGTGTATTCCACCATCTACCTTCTATGACATATTCTGTAATTTATTTATCAATGGTCTTATTTCTCTACAAAACATTTACTCACATGTTTATTTGCATTTAGAAATAAACTTAGATATTTTCTGATTTAATAATGGCAAGAATTGATGTTTTCATACATGAGCAAGGTAGGAGGAAAAAACTACCCAGCTCTTACACCACATCAAAAAATTCATTTTAATAAAATATTTTATTAAATTTTAATATCAAAATTTGAAATGTTTTGATGAATTGTGAATTGTAATAAGAAATGTGAATTATTGCAATAGTTGCAAATGTAGAAGAAAACCTCATGACCATAATTTTTTTAGAATATAAATACATTTATATAATATAAACTTATAGACATGTGTGTTCCTATTGCAGAGAAGTATTACAGGTAATCAATAAAAGGTTTTTCAAGTATAAAAATACTTTACATCATGAAAAATTTGGGGGGAAGATGAAAATATTAATGAGAAAAAGGAATGATATAAAATCTCATGCTATTGAAAAAAGAGCTCTCATACACACACTTTCCACTTTTTTTAAAAATACAAATTTCAGGTAGCAAATCCTGGTGGTACTTAGAATTCTGTGGATGCATTTAAAGAGCACTCTAACAGTCTTATTTTTAAATGTTAATACAACATTCTGAAAATTATACCATTTGTAACTATGTTAAGTCATGAGGAAGAATTTAGGAAGTTCACTTAAAAATGTGCAATGAGGTACATAGTACATATATTTCAAAATTCTATTGGGAGTATGAGAACAAAAAGTTTGAAAACAAATGTTCTAACCAGTTTCCATATCAATGTGGATATAAAAATATCCTGCTAAGGCCTCAAGATGGACATAATGACACAGAGAGAAAATGGGTCCAAATAGAGTATAGTATCTATTAAAATTAAAAATACACCTTTCCTCTTATCTGGCAATCCCACTTTTAGGATCTATCCCACAGAAGTAAAGGCAGTGCCATTTAAAGATATAGTTGTGATGATATTTGCCACACAAGGTAAAACACCAAGAAAATCCTGAGTATCAATTAATAGGGCAATGGCTTAAAAATACTGGAACGTTAATACTACAGACATTATACAACCATTTAAAATAATGAGTTAATAAGGCTTTGAGGGATGGTCATGAGGGTGTCCATGATACACTAAAGAATGAAAAATGCAAGTTGCAGAGTAAAATGCATAATATAATCCACTTTTAAAAATACAAAGATTACTAACTCCCCAAATATGTATATATAAATAAATACTTATGAGCACAAAAAAAGGTAAAGCATTCCTACATGCCAAAGTGTTAATGCTGGTTATCTCAAGAAATTGGGGCAGGGAAAAGCTTTTCCTTACACATTTCCACATTTTCTTACCATTTGAATAAGAAGATAACATAGTTGAGTGTTTTTCAATACTGAAATTCGTGGATTTGGAAATACACAGAAATTCAAGTATTTGTTAAATATTTAAAAAGTAAACATCTACAAATGTGACACAGATTTCTTTTTTCTTTCCTTTTTTGGAGACGGAGTCTCGCTCGGTCGCCCAGGCTGGAGTGCAGTGGCGCGATCTCGGCTCCTGCAAGCTCCGCCTCCCAGGTTCATGCCATTCTCCTGCCTCAGCCTCCAGAGTAGCTGGGACTACAGGCGCCTGCCAACACGCCCGGCTAATTTTTTTGTATTTTTAGTAGAGACGGGGTTTCACTGTGTTAGCTAGGATGGTCTCAAGCTCCTGACCTCGTGATCCACCCGCCTCGGCCTCCCAAAGTGCTGGGATTACAGGCGTGAGCCACCGCGCCCAGCCCATGTGACACAGATTTCTATGCAAAAAATAAGAGCAAAAAATGGAGAAAGGAATAAACAAGGTAAAAAAGGACACAGAATTTATTTCAGTGTGCGTAAACAAATAATTTCTTCTGAATTGCATTATGTAATATTAAAACTTACCGTACAACAGTACTGAAGGGCTATTGCATTTAATGTATCTCCTTCTTGTATATCTTTTGTTAATACTATAATGTCGTCAAGTCTATCTCTTGATGTACTTCTTCGGACTTTCTCTTTTCCTCTGGATCGAAGTTCATACACTTCAGCATCCTCCTCCAAAATATCACTGTCTGAACAATTTCCAAATGCATGTACTTGACCACTTGACTGAACTCCTGGAAGAGGAAAACTACGATTCTGATGCCTCCCTGCCATAATGTTAAAATCTGGAGGAAAAAAAAAGCAGAGAAAATTTTGGAATGTAGCTGATCCAACTGACTGATTTGCATGCATCGTACATTCAGGACACAATCTTTTGTTTTTGTTTTAATGGTTTTAGTTATTTAAACATTTAGGTTTAAGTTCGTTTTTTTGTTTTGTTTTGTTTTGTTTTGAGATGGAGTCTCACTCTGTCACCCAGGCTGGAGTGCAGTAGTGCGATCTCAGCTCACTGCAACCTTTGCCTCCCAGGTTTAAGTGATTCTCCTGTTTCAGTCTCCCGAGTAGCTGGGATTACAGGCGCCCACCACTACGCCCAGCTAATTTTTGTATTTTTAGTAGAGACAGGGTTTCACCATGTTGGCCAGGCTGGTCTCGAACTCTTGACCTCAGGTGATCTGCCCACTTCAGCCTCCCAAAGTGCTACGATTACAGGTGTGAGCCACTGCGCCTGGCCTAGGTTCAGGTTTTACAACTGTTAAAGTAGAACAAACGTATTTGGCAGTGGAGACAAAGGTAAGGGAAGAAGAGGTAATCTCCTCTATTAGATCATATATCACTAAACACGTGGAGTAATTACATATTAACAAAGGCAAATTGCTATAATTCTTTTGGTAAAAATATAACTTATAAAATTAAATACTATAAAATATTACATTAAATATAAAATCGTAAATTCCCCTTATTCTGAGTATGTGAAGAAAATCAGAGAAATAATTGTGTTATGTCTTAAAAACTTGTGACTATATAACTTATAGCTCTGATGGAATCAAAGCATGTTTTATATACACATAATACTTTCATGAATTCAAAACTTTCCAGCTTGTTCTGCATTTCAACTTCATTCAGGATTGGAGTATCTTTCGTATTACTTCCTCCTGGACTTTGGTATTTATATTTAGTGCAGATATGCCTGCAATATAGGTTATGATTTTGCTTCCCTGGAAGCAGGAATTTTTCTTCCCTGGAAGCTTTTTAGCCAACTTAGAGTCCTCATCAAATTCAACTTATGGTCCATAAAGACTGTGAACAGATTTTAGGTTACTGTGTTCATTTATACTTTAGAAAAACCATTGTAAGACTGACTGGGAGCTGACCTAAGTTAAAAACAGGCATCAATGAATACTTTTTGTTTACTTGCATACTAACTCTCAACTCACCATCATCAAGTTGATCTATCTACTCTCTTTAATTAGGAACACAAGAACCTAAAAAACTAATTCCACATTCACAGTTTTGGCTTCGTGTTAATTATTCACATAAGAAGGGGCAGACTGCTTTCAGTTCTTGTTGGGAAAGATGGAGGGAAGTAGTAAGAAGCACTTTGGAGATAAAATTCTTTGCACTCAAGGTGGTTCAGACATGAAGAGAGGGAGTAAATTAAGCATCACACCAAGATTTCTGATTTGCATAATACATTGTGGTGCCATTCTCTGAGATATGGAAGAGGAGCTGGGGGAGGAGGTGCATGGCTATGATTATGAATTCCTCTAAGATAGTAAAAAGGAATGGCAAATAGACAAATGGGCTATATAGTCAAACTCAGAGAAAAGGTCTAGGTTAGAAATAAAATTTCATGACTAATTTGCACATAGATGAAAATGAATTTGTGAGTACATATATTACCTAGAGAGTATAGAAAAAGAAGAGGGTCCAAGACTGAGCCTTGAAGAAGTCCAAAATTCAGTATCTTGGTGAAAGGAAATCAGCCTGAAAATATGGATAAGGAGTGTCCAGAAGAGGGAGAAACCATGGAAGTGTTATGTCATGGAAGCCAAAGCAAAATAACATCTCAAAGACTCACTATTTTTTGAATACTATGGATGAGTACCAAGCGAAACAAAAACAAACAAACAAAAAACAGAAAAGACCAACTCCAAAACTCTGAGTATATAAAATGGATGACAATAAATTACAAAGGTTGAGAATCCCTAACCCAAAAATCCAATCTTAAATACTCTGAAATTTGAAATACTTTGAGTGCTGACATGAAGCCACAAATGGAAAATTCCACAACTGACGTTTCAGATTTCAGATTAGGAATGCTAAACCTGTACAGGTATTCTGGTGATGTGCTTAGGTACCCTGAACACATTATTTTTTCACTGTATTAATGGTATTTTTTTTTTTTTTTTTACTGTTAAGCACTTATGTGTGAAAAAGTGTAAGAAAATGACTGCTTATTAGTAGCATACAAATTCAGAGTTAGGAATGACGGTGATGCCAAACAACCACAAATTTTCCACAAGGGTGGCTGAGATAGTGACACTTTTACCTGCTGATGGTTCCAGGTACAAGAACTTTTGTGCACAAATCATATAAAATTACCTTCCGACTATGTGTATAAGTTGAATATGAAACACAAATTTCATGTTCAGACAGGTCCCATCCCCAATGTATCTTATTATGTATATGCAAACATTCCAAAATCCAAAGAAATCTGAAACACTTCCGGTCTCAAGCATTTCAGGTAAGGACTACCCAACCTGTACTTTCTAGGCATATACTTATCATAAAATGCTTTAAAACTATTTAATATAGTTGAATCCAACCCTTGAAAAGCACTTTCTGACCTTGCTCTAATGGCAATATTATAATGCTTTAAAAGCTCAAGAGTTCCTATTCAGATAACACAGATAACTAATAGCTATATGTTAAGTAGATTATTTCAACTGTTCTCTGAAGTGCTACATTATTACCAAGAACTAGGATTCCTAACTTGACAGCTATGAAACTAAAGAAAACTATCACATTTTATATCTCAAAAGCAGTTTTGAAGTCATGACCACATCTTTTCCTCCAAGGATAACAGTTTTATTTCCACTCATTTAACCAGGTCTTTTTTTAATCTTGTGTCTTTAACCTAGGGAATGTCTTTGAATCCTGTAGATTCCAGGCAAATTTTATACATATGTATATTTTTCTGGGGAGAATTTTCATTGCTTCATATTCTCAAAAGGCATCCATGATCAAAAAAGTTAAGACTTAATATACAGCAATTTACACTTGGCTATACCGACCTACTTATGTGTCTTGTTAGACAGTTTCACCCTAATAATTTGTACTTAGAACTTCAAAATTGGCTTAGTAGTGCAGCTAACTGAAAATCACTAAGCAATGCCCCAAAGCCATTTTAGATACTTGTTTCTATCAACCTCTCTCCACGATATATTTCTAAATATAATTTAAAGGTCAGAACTTCACCTGTCTCACTATCTCTCCACTCCCCTTTATAATGAAATGCAGGCAGCTGACTATCGTGTTACAAATCTGGGTATTCTGAATGATCAAGAACTGGCTGTGTCTTCAACCGAAGTGAACAGACTGACCCAGGCGATCACTCCAGTCTACTACTCAGAGATTAGAAAATACATAATATTTAAGTCATCTGGCTCAATTCTATTCACCTCTCTTAATTCTCTTAGAGCAGGAAAAAGGCACGAACTCCCTTTCAGAAACTTGGAACAAGCCTGCGTGCTACCTAGATTACGAGGGGCCACAAAACAGTGTTAAAGCATTCTTCAGCTCAGTCTGTAACTGAAAACGGTTTCCCAAACACCTTCGTACTGTAGAATGGCTGCTGGGTGTTTCGCCTTGACCTTCTTTAACTAAGCAAGGTGCAATAAGAGGGTCACAGGGCACAAGTTAAAGCTGCAAAGGGACAGAATCAAAGGCACCCTATCCGCTGCCAGGGACAATTTTGTTTTTTAAAACTTAACTACCTCCTCCCTCTGTATTCCACACGTCAAGTTTTTCTTTCCCTGCTATCGTCAGCGAAGATTACGTCTCAGAGTCTTCTGTCACAGCATGACACTTGAACGATGTGACAAGATGCCGTCAGCGAATATTTCACGCCAACATAAAGTCGTGGGAGAAATGCTGTGTTTGGGTGGGAAATTAGCTGCCCAGGTAATCCAGCAGGTAGGCGTCCTTCCTCTGAGCCTCAGTTTCCCCGACAGTGTGACAAGAGGGCCTGGCAGGGCTGGTCTGGAAGTTCTTCCCTGTCTCGGGGGTGTCCGCCACACGGGCCGAGCCCGGCCCTGCAGCCCCCACCACACCTGTGGCCGAGGCTCAGCGCCTCCCGTGAGGACGCAGCTGGGGCTCAACCCCGCCCTCCTGGACCGGGCTACCCTCACCTCCTGCCACCATCTTTACCTGTCCCCGTTAGCAGGGAGCACTCTGCGAGAAGATGGCCAAAAGGTCCGCCGCCGCCGCTGTCCCGGGTAAGTTCATGGCCGAGCCTCTGCTTTGGGCTGACCCCGTCCGCCTCCGCCTCTGCCGCCAACGTCTCCGCCTTCCGGGCCGTACGCCGCCGCCACGTCCGCAAACCTGAGATGCGTCATCGCGTCAAGTGGGCGGAGGTGGGAAGGGGCGGGGGAGGACGCGGAGGGCAGCCCAAAACGGGGGAGTCCAACCACAGGTCCACGCCCGGCACGCAGGCGCAGGGACTCCTCCGGGGCCCGGGGGCGGGTCCAATCCCCGGGCCCGGGGGCGGGTCCAATCCCCAGCCCCGCCCTTGACTCCGCTCCTTCCGTGCCGCTTCACTCCCCGAGGAAAAGATTTGGTGGCCAAGTCAGCGGATCCAACCCGCGACCACCAGCGACCTACTGGCTGCGTCTTTGTCCAGCGTCCACACTGCGCTGGCAGAGACTGTCGGGTGCACCCTGAGGACGAGGCGTGGCTCAGGATGTGTCGGGGAGCTGTCTTGCATTTTTTTCTTGCTGTGCATCTCGAATTTTCTTTAGGGTGGGAAAGGACACCTCAAAAACACTGTTGACATCACGGTTTCAGAAAATTGCGCCATGTTTGTTACCCTTTTCATGCTGAAGACTCCAGACTGCTGCAGAAGAGGCAGAATTCTGGAGAGAAATCCTTGGGGGACCGAGGACGAGGGTTGGAGGGGGTTGTCTCACCCTTCCTGTTTTTAGGTGAGGGAAGTGAGCCACCTAGAGTCAGGCCCCAGGAAATGTTTTCCCTGGCTCGAGGAGTCAAGGGAGTCAACAAATTGTAATCTAACTTATTTTGGTTTGAAAATTAACTGAGTCATTGGTAGTCACCATTGGACTCTATGGAATATTAGCTTATTAAATAAACTCATGACTTCATACATGATTTTTATCACAAATGTGTTAAATGAGTATCATAATGTGTTTGAATTTATGTATGACTTTGGCAAAAGCCGCAACTACTTTTGCACCAACCTAATTAATGAATGTAAAGCATTTTAATGAGTCTGATGTCTCTCAGTGTTGATATTAGAGACGTTGCACTTTGACAACCATGCTAACTGTTACGACAATATCCATTTTAGGCACAAATAGCTGGGGTGCAGGGTGCAGAGCAGTGCTTTTCAGAATGTCTGAATATTTATACATTAGAAAGCCTTTGAAGCTTGGTTTTAAATTGTTTTTCAAAGAGTATGTTTTTGGTTTTCTGGTAAGTGCCTCTGCAAAGGTTAGGAGTTTTGCATTGCAATAGTTTTCTTTTATTAGCAGGGATAGGCACTGTGCTTCCCAGCGCCACAAAAAAAAACTGCAGGAGAAGACTTTTTTAAAAAGTTTGTCTGAATTGTTCTGTGTGTTGTTGCCCTCATGACACCCCTGTCTGTAACCATTTATCACTGAGACGTTCTCTCATCAGCAGACAAAGGATATATTCCCTGCTTGATATGTAGGACTTCGGCTGCTTAGCCCTCATGAATGTTAATGGGAATACAACCTTCTTTCTGTCTATAGGTTACTTTTCTTATTTTAATGTCAATAGACAGCGGAATTAATGTGAGAGCCAAAGTGATAGATTTCAAGCACTTCTATAGGACCGATACCTGTATCCTTCATATAAATAACTTTCTCAAAGATATCTGCATGCTCTTGAATAGTTATTTGTATTTAACAAGGATGCAAATATTAAACTTTTTATAAAAATGGAAGAATAGGATTATATTTTATTATTAGAATATACAAAAGAAGCAGTTAGCGTGAATTTTGGCCAAGTTCCAAAAAGCCGGCCAGTAGGAACAAGCATTTTGTCTTTGAGAAAAAGGATGTCCCCAGTGCTCAGCAGAGCCAAAGGATTTTTAGTGTTTCAAGATTTCACCTGACACAGTTTCTGTTAAAACGCTATAGATGAAAGAATATGTCATTTCTAGGAATATGTGTTTTAGTCACTAACGTTTAGTTTTTGTGAGTTGCCCTAGAGTAGAAGTTGTACTGAAGTGAGAGTGTAAATTGATGCAACCTGTTAGGCAATATCTATCAAAATTTTAAATGCAACTGACTGAACTATTACATTGCTAAGTAATTACCTTAGATTTACTTACAGACACATATGTGCAAGATTTAACAGATATGTTCAGGAATGTTTGCACAGTAATAGCCAAAATCTGAAAATATTTTAAATGTTTATCAGTAGTTGACTGATACTTCCGGTACATTAAAACAATATAATGTTATACTTGGTTTCAGAAGAGTGAAGTTAATCTGGCATTTGCTGATTTATTCATTCATTTACCTAATAAGTTTCTGTTGAAGAAAAACAGTGCTTAAAAAGACAAATTCCCCTTACTTATGGAGCTTGAATGACTGAAGCGTGTAGAAAGATCTTTAAAATGTATTTTAGTCTATTTTAGGAAGAAAAAATAGGAGGTATGATATTATTTCTATGGAATAAAATTTCAAATAAGCATCCCTCATCCTACCCCCCGTACCCCACCGACACACATATACACATACACATTCACACACACATATATGCAGAGAGATGCACTTAATTTTTCTATCTGGAAAGTCACTCAAGGAATTTTAACAGTGGCTGAAAAGGACTAGACATGGCAGGGGAGTAGGCAGGAAATTTTGCCTTTTCCTCTTAGAACTTTCTATATAGACTGAATTTTTATTACTACATGCTTTTATTATATTAAGAATTAACACATTTTATTTCTAAGTAACTGGACTTGTTTATTCTGGAGCTAACCTATAGTTAACCATCCATCTCTTAGTCATTCCTGAGTCTGTTTGTACTTTGTATTCAGGCGGCAAATGTCTGGAGAAAAGAACCAGATCAATTCTCTTATAAATCAAAAAATGAAAGGGTAACAAAACATTGAATTCTTTTTACACGTCTTCTTGATTTTCCTCTTTCTGATTTCTTTCAACCCTGCTCTTTTACTCTCTCCTCCTTCCTATTATTCCTATTTCTATCCTTATAGCAGCCTTTTCTATCCAGCTTCTACTTTTCAGAAGCAGAACTAGAAAGAACTGTTGGACAATAAGGAAATACTTTAAGTAATCTCAGATGAAGTTAAAATTGGATTATGGAGTGAAACTTAAAAAAAAAAAAAACTCCCACATCTCTGATCTTCAAATAACCTATGTAGAGAGAAAATTATTGTGTCTCTTCTCTCGAAGTGTTGGAAAAAAACAGACTGGATGATTTGGATATGTTCTGCTAGCAGGTGTACCACATGACCTCTCTAGCTGCCTTTAATCCTGTGATTTTTAAACATAATGATTATTGTAATCATGGCTTTGCCATAATGTGGACAAAAGAAGAGTCAGATATACTTCAGGAATCCAAAGCTGTTTATAAATGCTAGTAATTAATTCATGGATCTTAAACATGACTTGAAAACAACCATCTTCAAGTCTTCATCCATGCAGACACGATGAAAACTAGCCTCACAAATACTATCCTTATACTCTTTAGCTAGGTGGTTGGTACATGTAGAAAGGAACAGTTACATCTTTATATTTAAGTAGACTATAATTTGAAATGCTTTGTTTCCCATGTCTCTTATAATCACTACTGTCACATAGGCAAATCAGTGCAGGTGAATTCCCCCAGAACCTGCATCCTGCTTGTTTTCGTGCCTACTTCTCCAGAGATTTAAGATGATAAGACAGTATGTAATTAAGTTCACTAAACCAAAGGAAAACCTGAGGCATGACCCAGTCTATGGAATTGGGTGATGATAGATAGTGATCACCCAGAAGTGGAGAGCAAGTCAAAATGGAGTACAGAGAGTGGACGTCCAGTTTGATTTCTTAGGTCTTCAGCAGTGCATTCACAGAGACAGGAAAGATAGGGAGTGGGGAAGAATAAAAGGATAATGGGAGAGGCAACAGCATCTTCTCTTTCTAGTCTAGGTCTTTCCAGATAGAGACCACTTCTGTGACAATCCTCAGCTTAGTCAACACTATCTGACAAAACCAAGCAAGAATTTCAAAAGCAAAACTTCCGTGCTCATTTAAAGAATAATAGTGAGGTGTACATGCATACCTAAAATGAAGGTAGTTGCTTATCTGACAAAATATAGACAGAAATTACATCTGTTCATTCAACAAATGTTAATTAAGCAGCAACTGTGTTTCAAATCCTGCTTTAATAAAGCATCAGGGACATGCAATGAACAAACAAACCCAAATCTTTGCCCTCTTGGAGCTTATGTTCTTGTGATGAAAGATAAAAACAAAATAAATAAATGAAATTGTGTTAGATGGTGATAAGTGAATGGAGGAACACTGAATAGGGTAGGAGCTGCAGTGTTTTGGGTTGGGGGAGAGTCTCCACCCTATGAAAATTCTCTATCCCTGAGAGAGGAACTGTGCCTAGAGTATTGGAGGAACAACAAAGATACCAGCATGGCTGGAGCAGATTGCCGAAGCAGCGAGCAGTAGGAGAAGAGGTCAGATAGAGCCAAATGGGAAAGGACTCTGTCAGCCACTGCAAGGACTTGGGCTTTCACCCTGAGCAAGATGGGAAACGATTGGAGGGTTCTGAGCAGAGGAGGTCATCATCTACCCTTTAAAAGGATCCCATAGGAAAGTGGAGGCAGCAGCAAGGAGATCAGTTAAGAGGAAATTGTAGTAATTCAGGCAAGAGGGAAGATGTCTCAAATTAGGGAAAAACATCAAGTATCACATTGATGTGGGTTAAAAATACTTGATTTAAGAATTTTTTCAAAGCCCCCGACTCTATGAGGATGCTCAATTTTAGTTTTAAAGATATTTTTCACTAGTTCCTTCTTGCATACTTTGATTAGTGACTCTGTACTAGGGCCTGTTTTCCACATTAATTCTAAATAAGCCAGATTTACCACTGTAGCAATTGTTGGATCTAAGTAAAGTTTCCATTCTGCCCTCTCACCATGTTTTCTTTTATTTACAGTTAAGATTGAGCTGAATTTTTTCCCCTTATTCCAAGCCTTAATCCTATCTGGCTTCTAAATCCCTTCAGAATTATTTGAAGCAAAGAATGCCTGCTGATTTCAAAAAACATTTTACACTTGGACTTACTTGATGGGGTATATAGCAAGGGTCGTGGAGGCTTCCTTCCTTTCCATGCAGAAAAATGTGTTTGGAAATGTATATACTAATCAATGAGCAATCTGTTAGTAAGAAACATACAGAAGCTCATTTCTTTGATTTGTTGTTTTGAAAAGTACTTATTTTTCTTTGGAGTATTTTTCAGTTTAAAATCTAATCTGTTATTTTGTAGAATAATCAATTTATATTAGTTGAAACTTGATTAACTTTCCTTTTATTACCCTGTCCTTAAGATCATACTACAGATTTGGTTATATATCACATAACAATATAAATGAACACTTGTTTTATAAAGATTTCTAATTCTATTGTTTCAGTCATTTCATTGAAAGATAAATATTACTACACCAATCTTCTAAGGAAAATTTCTTGTGTGTTATTCCTGGCTTTGTATAAGATAATGTTTATAGGCATTGTATGTAATGCTGATGCAATAGAAGGCATTATATTTAAAAAGAATGGCTTTACTGTATACAAATATTAGGATTGCTTGTAAGGCAAAGCCATAAAAGCATTGCGTAATCTATTCTAATAAAATAGATACGCTAGCCCTTTGACTTTATTTGGTTTTAGCAACTGAACAGGATAGAGTTTCGAAATGAATATGGTGAAAATAGACAAAAGGATTTATAGTAAATTTTTTCCTCCTGCTCTGTGTTACCTCCCATGAGCCTTGTTCACCTTTTTCTCAATATCTGCCATTACTCATTAAAATTCTGGTTTCATAAAAACTACAAGTAGAGACTGCTGTTGCTTGTTGTATGTGTGTAATGACAGCACTCAAATGCATTGCTAAAGGACTGGAAAACACAAGCAAGGATTATGATAAGAATGGTAACAACAACCACTTTCAACATGTATAAAGTTAAGGCAGTCTGCGCAAAACTGACATTTTGATAACTATACAAGGTGTTGTCAAAGTATGATCTCAGAACCCCTGCCAATCCCCAAGACTCCTTAGTAGGGTCCTCAAGTACTTTCACAATAATTCTAAGAAGTTATTTGCCTTGTTCACTGGGTTATCACTTGCACTCAGGTTACTCTTGTACAGCCATGGGAGATGAGCCCACAGAGAGCCAAATGGGATAGGACTTTGTTAGCCACTGCAGGGACTTGGGCTTTCACTCTGAGCAAGACGGCAAACAACTGGAGGGTTCTGAGCAGAGGAGGTCATCATTTACCTTTTAAAAGAATTTAATAGGAAGGTTAGGGCAGCAGCAGAGAGATCAGTTAAGAGGCAATTGCAGGCAGATGCGGTGGCTCATGCCTGTAATCCCAGCACTTTGGGAGGCCGAGGCGGGCGGATCATGAGGTCAGGAGATCTAGACCATCCTGGCTAACACGGTGAAACCCCGTCTCTACTGAAACAAAAGCAGAAAAAAAAAAATTAGCCAGGCATGGTGGCAGGCACCTGTAGTCCCAGCTACTCGGGAGGCTGAGGCAGGAGAATGCCATGAACCCGAGAGGCCGAGCTTGCAGTGAGCCAAGATCGTGCTACTGCACTCCAGCCTGGGTGACAGAGCAAGACTCTGTCTCAAAAAAAAAAAAAAAAAAAAAAAGGCAATTGCAGTAACTCAGGCAAAAGGGAGGTTGACTCAAATTGGAGAGGAACACCACATACCACTTTAAAAGTGTTCCTTGATTAAGCAGTAAATATATATTTATTGTATTAAATCTCAGTCCTGGAGGCAGGATGCAGTGGCTCACACCTGTAATCTCAGCACTTTGGGAGGCTGAGGTGGGTGGATCACCTGAGGTCAAGAGTTCGAGACCAGCCTAGCTAACCTGGCAAAACCCCGTCTTTTCTAAAAATACAAAAATTAGCTGGGCGTGGTGACATATGCCTGTAGTCCCAGCTACTTGGGTGGCTGAGGCAGAAGAATCGCTTGAACCCCGGAGGCGGAATTTGCAGTGAGCCGAGATCGTGTCACTCCACTTCAGCCTGGGCGACAGAGTGAGAGTCTGTCTCAAAATAAATAAATAAATCAATCTCAGTCCTTGAATATATGGCTTTTATTATTCTTTCTGATGAAACGGGAAATGCACATGAAGTTCTTCTGCTGCATGTCAAAGTAATATGGTTGTCTAAGAAAAAAAATCTGGTGGCCTTGTTTGAGTTGGGAACTGAGCAAACCGTTTTTATCAAAGGACACTATTTTTAATAGAAAGAATGACTGACAGAAAAACTATGGTTGGCTGGGCACAGTGGCTCATGCCTGTAATTTCAGCACTTTAGGAGGCTGAGGTGAGAGGATCAATTGAGCCCAGGAATTTGAAACCAGCCTGAGCAACACAGGGAGACTCCGATCTCTACAAAAATAAAAAATTAAAAAAATTAGCTGGTCATGGTGGCGCATGCCTGTGGTCCCAGCTACTCAGTAGGCTGAGGCAGGAGAATTGCTTGAAGCTGGGAAGTTGTTGCTGCAGTGGGCTGTGATCATGCCACTGGATCCCGGCCTGGGTGCCAGACCCTGTCTCAAAAACAATGACAAACCAAATATGATCAATAAGACTTGGATATTTGATGGACAGTTTATTGAAAATGAGCAAAGTAAGCCAGTTACTTCCAGAAAAAAAAAAAAAGACAGTAGTTGCTACCATTGATAAAACTCAAGTTCTCAAGCAGAAATTAGAATTTTAGAAAACGTTTATTGCCTCTATGAGGGTTGGCAGCTTCCCAAAACTGAAAGGATTTTGTGATGAGATTAGCGGTGATATCAATAATGTAATTTTTCAAATATCGTATATATTGAAATTTGTCAAGACTTGGAACATCTCCATAACTCAGGGAACAATATTTTCCAAATAAGTAAAGTAAGATGCTAAAAAATCATGCACAGATAAAAGATCCATTTAAAGTGTAAGGCCAAGGATTTTAATGTGACTGATTTGAAGAAAAAAAAACTTATTGCTATAGTTTTATTAACCAAAAATTGACAGAGGCAAATCTAATTGGATAGAGGTTTATTTTGCCAAAATTGAGGATGTGCCTAGGAAAAAGAAACACAAGTTACAGTAAGATCTGTTACTTGTGCTTTTTCCAAAGAAGGTTTTGGAAACATCAATATTTAAAGTGAAAATAACAAGCAGAAGGGAAAGCAAAAAAAGGAGGATGGATAGGCAATGAGGGAAGTGGTTACATTGTTGTAACCACTCTGAATAGCACTCAGTGAATCCATGTTTTACATGCAAAAAGAAGGAGGTAGGCGAAAAGTCAATTTGTATTCCTCTTGTGTTCCATAAGTTTACATTTTACACAAGATAAAGTAAGCATGTGAAATGGCAGCTCTCTGTTTGGACAAAAAAGGAAGGCAAGTTTTGTGTCACTCAGTTCTCAAGCTTAACTTTGCCTTGGGCATAGTGAGTTTGGGGTCCTGAAATTCATTTTTTCCTTCAGAGCTTCAAATGCTACATTGCAACTTACCTTTAAGAAGCTATCACTGAGTCTTGGTATAATATCAAAGAAGAATATTCACAATTGTCTGAAAAACTATTAAAGTACTTTTCCCTATTCCAACTATGTATCTGCATGAGGCCAGATTTTTTTCATCTACTTCAGCCAAAACCACATATAACAACAGACTGAATTCGGAGCAAATACAAGAATTTACTGGTCATTACAGCTAATAAATGACTTCAGTAAACTTGAAAGATGCAAGATACACACACACAACATCACTAGTATTTCTGTACACTAACAATGAACAATCTGAAAAAGAAACTAAGATTGTAATAGCATCAAAAAATACTTAAGAATATACTCTTATCAAGAGATGTAAGATTTGTACACTGAAAACTACAAAATAATGCTGTGGGAAAATAAAGAATATCTAAAGAAATGGAAAGACATGATGTGTTGATGGATTGGAAGAATTAATATCATTAAGATGACAATACTTCCTACAAATATCTACAAATTCAATGTAATTCCTATCAAAATCCTACTGGCCATTTTTTTAGAATTGAAAAACTGATCCTAAAACTCATATAAAATGGCAAAGATCCTGAATAGTCAAAATACTCTTGAAAAAGAAGTACAAATTTGGAGGATACACACTTTTGAATTTCAAAACCTATTACAAAACTACAATAATCAACAGTGTGGTTCTGGCATAAGGATGTTCCATGGTGGCAGGTCTATGCAAGACTACCCTTAAAAGTCTGAGGAAGCTGAAAGGCCAAAGAAAGAAAATAAGGTATCCAGTTTTTCAGAAATAAACATGATTAAGGATTTATGAAGACAATCATGTCTGTGTCTCGGTGGTGGTGAGACAAGATGGTGGATATCAGCACCTTCACTCCTCAGGGATAATATACCATAGGGAAGGAATGTATAGGACAACTATAGAGAAAGGCAAGAATGCCATAGTAATCTCCTGAAGCACAGGATTTATGGTCAAGGTTGTTTTGACCTAAGGACAGGATTTGTAGTAAGTACATGCTCTTACACAGGAGCAGTAGATAAGATGAAAATATTAGAGGCATTCCTGGAACTGGGGTCAATCAGAAGTCAACAGGGCAGATTAGCATCCAAGATTAAGTTGCTTTAGCCTTTACAGATATACATATAGATTAATATTGTAGAATTGAAAGTTCAGAAATAAAAACATGCATCTATGGTCAATTGATATTTGACAAAGATGCCAAGACCATTCTATAGAGAAAGAATAATCTCTTCAACAAATGATGATAGGACGCCTGGATATCCACACACAAAAGAACCATGTTGGACCCCTACCTCATAACATATACAAAAATTAACTCAACCTGGAAAAAGACCTAAAAATTAGAGCTAAACCTATAAAACTTTTAGAGGAAGACATAGACATAAACAGTCATAATCTTGGATTTGGCAATAGCTTTTTAAGTATGACACAAAAGAATAAAAAACAAAAAGAAAAATAGATGAATTGGACTCCATCAATACTAAAAACTTTTGGGCATCAAAAACACTACCAAGAGAATGAAAAGACACCCTATGAAATGGGAGGAAATATTTGTAAATATGTATGTTGTCTCGTATTCAGAAATATAAAGAACTCTTGCAACTCAACAACAAAAAGACAAATGACTCAATTAAAAAAATGGGCCAGGCTAGGTGCGGTGGCTTACACCTGTAATCCCAGCATTTGGGAGGCCAAGGAGGGCCGATCATGAGGTCAGGAGATCAAGATCATCCTGGCTAACACGGTGGAACCCCGTCTCTACTGAAAATACAAAAAATTAGCCAGGCCTGGTGGCACATGCCTGTAGTCCCAGCTACTCAGGAGGCTGAGGCAGAAGAATTGCTTGAACCCAGGAGGTGGAGGTTGCAGTGAGCCAAGACCGCACTACTGCAATCCAGCCCGGGCGACAGAGCAAGACTTGGTCTCAAAAAAAAAAAAAAAAAAGAAAGAAAGAAAAAAGAAAAATGGGCCTAGAATTGAACAGGTATTTTTACAAAGAAGATATACAAATGACCAAAAAGCATTTGAAAAGATGCTTATCGTTTAGTCATTAGGAAAATGCAAATCAAAACCACAATGAGAAGCCACTTTGTATTCACTAGGCTGGCCACAATTTTTTTAAATGGAAAATGAATATTTGTAAGGATGTCGAGATTGGAACTCTCATACATTATCGGTGGGAATATAAAATGGTGCAGTTGCTGTGGAAAACAGTTTGGCAATTCTTCAAAAGTGAAAAATAAAATTACCACGTAACTCAGCAATTCTACTCTTAGGTATATGCTCAAGAGAATTGAAAACAGGTGTTCAAACAAAAACTTGTACATAAAGTTAATTACAGCACTGTTCGTAATAGCCAAAAGGTAGAAACAAATCAAATGTCCATCAACAGATGAATGGGTAACAAAATGTGGTAAACACATACAATTTGAGTATTATTCAGCCGTAAAAGGGAATGAAGTACTGCTATATGGTACAATATGGATGAACCTTGAAAATATTATGCTAAGTGAAAGAAGTGAGACATAAAAGGTCACACACATTGCATGATTCCATTTATACTGTAAAATCTAGAATAGGCAGATCCATAGAGACAGAAAGCAGATTAGTTGTTGCCAGGGAATAAGGAGGGAGGAATAGGAAGTGACTGCTTAATGGTTACAGGTTTTCCCACTGAGAAGCTACAAATGTTCTGGACCTAGATAGTGATCCTAGTTGCACAATATTGTGAATGTACTAAATGCCACCAAATTGTACACGTTAAAATGATAAATTTTATGTTATGTGTATTTTACCACAAATTTTTAAAAAAGAATCCAGCTATCTTCTAAGTCAGACATTAAAGAGATTTTTAAATGATAAATAATGCCACTGATCTCACTAAATATTTTTGTTTTCAAAAATATATTTTTCATAAAATATGTTATTTCAATTAACATGAAATCAGTTTATTTTTAATTGAATTAATGAATAGATACATAGAAGTTGTGACTAAAAAGTTTGAGACCCACTAAGTTGTTGTGTAAGGTGTAGCCTCAAAGGTATCTAAGCCAAGTTACTGCATGGGTTTTAAGGTTCAAAAGATTTTCTAATATAAGTCAATTGTGAATCAAAATGTTACAGATTAAAGCACAACTAGAAAAGATATTCTTCTGATCATATTAGCTACCAAAGTGTAAACTAGAAGGTTAGAAACTATATTTGTTGGAGGCATGGTCTGAAGAAAAGAGTGGGGAAGCTGAGGAAGGGCAAAGTTGGAGATGGAAAGCAGCAGAGTGGGTTCCATCTCTACAGCTGGAATGAAGGTGGCCAGGATGATATGGTTTGGCTTTGTGTCCCCACCCAAATCTCATCTTGAATTGTCATCTCCAGGTAATGAGGAAGGGACCTGGTGTGAGGTGATTGGATCATGGGGGCAGTTTTCCCCATCTTTTCTCATGATAGTGAGTGAGTTCTCACAAGAGCTGATGGTTTTATAAGGGGCTCTTCCCCCTTTGCTCTGTCTTCTTCTCTCATCTGCTGCCATGTAAAATGTGCCTGCTTCCCCTTCCACCATGATTGTAAGTTTTCTGAGGCCTCTCCAGCCATGTGAACTGTGAGTCAAGTAAGCTTTTTTTCTTTATAAATTACTCAGTCTCCAATATATCTTTATAGCAGTGTGAAAGTATACTAATAGACAGGGACAGAATAGTTACAGGGACCCGTCAGGATGAAGGAAAAAAAGTTATAGGAGCGCAGGCTGTGTCAGCCACTGAAGTCATGGAATTGGGGTGGATGCTGGGAATGGCGAGTGGTGGGTAAAGAGGGTGTTGGCCTAGAAAATTCATGATTCATTGCGTTAATTCAATTTGACATTCATGTAATAGGTTTAAATGTATTTTTTCTCTGTTTTCTAGCTGTCTGTGCTAATAACACAGAGCTTACACTTACTGATTATTGTGTCAGGTATTGTTCTAAGATTTATGATGTGGATGGCACTATTCTTTTTATTTTTAATACAATTTTTGAGGAAGTATTTGAGAATAAGCTGCAGATATCATGACACTTCACCCTTAAATACTACAGCATATGTCTCCTAAGAACAAGGACATTCTTCTACATAATCACAACACAATTGTAACTGAAAAAACATAAAATTGATACAGTATTATTCTCTAATATTCAGTTCATATTTAAATATCCAAGATTACCCTGATTGTGTCCTTTATCTGGTTTTCCTTTTTTCTTTTTGAGACAGAGTCTCACTGTGTCACCCAGGCTGGAGTGCAGTGGCACCATCTCCGCTCACTGCAAGCTCTGCATCCAGGGTTCACGCCATTCTCCTGCCTCAGCCTCCTGAGTAGCTGGGACCACAGGCGCCCGCCAGCACGCCTGGCTAATTTTTTGTATTTTTAGTAGAGACGGGGTTTCACCATGTTAGCCAGGATGGTCTCAATCTCCTGACCTCGTGATCTGCCTGTCTCGGCCTCCCAAAGTGCTAGGATTACAGGTGTGAGCCACCGCGCCTGGCCCTTTATCTGGTTTTCTTTTTGTGTTTATTTGTTTTGTAAACCAGAGGTATCTGATACAAATCTCAATCAATTTAGAAGTTTATTTTGCCAAGGTTAAGGACATGCCCATGACACAGCCTCAGGAGGTCCTGAGAACACGTGCCCAGAATTATTGGGTTACAGTTTGATTTTATACATTTTAGAGGGACAGAAGTTACAAGCAGACATCAATCAATACATGTAAGGTGTACACATTGTTTTGGTCTGGAAAGGTGGGACAACTTGAAGTGGGGCAGGGGCTTCCAGGTCATAGGTGGATTCAAAGATTTTCTGATTGGCAAGTCGTTGAGTTATTGTCTAAAGACCTAGAATCAATAAAAAGAAATATCTGGGATACAATAAGGGGATATGGAGATCAAGGTTTTTGTTATTCAGATGAAGCCTCCAGGTAGCAGGCTTAAGAGAGAATAGACGGTAAATGTTTTTTACCAGACCTTCAAAGATGCCAGACTCAGTAAATCTCTCTTACATCAGGAAAGTACTGGAAAGGGAATGGGATTCTCTACAGAATGTAAATTTACCCCACAAGAGACAGCTTTTCAAGGCCATTTAAAAGTATGTCAAAGAAATATATTTGGGAGTAAAATACTTCTGATTTCTTTCAGGGCCTGGGATCTGTCATTTTGCAATGTATCTTATTGCCGCAAAGAGTCAGTTTGGTCAGTCTGAAGATCTCTGTTTTAATGTTAATGCTGGTCAGAAGTGTCTGAATTCCCAAGGGAGGAGGGTATAATGAGGCATGTCCAACCCTCCCTTCCCATAATGACCTGAACTAGTTTTTTAGGTTTACTTTGGAATGCCCTTCACCAAGGGAAGGGGTGGTCCATTCCATCGGTTGAGGGGGCTTAGATTTTTATTTTTGGCTTATAGTTAATTTTAAAATGCAGTCCATGATTTAATCAAGGATTATGCATTGCATTTAGTTGTCAAGCTCCTTTAGTTTCTTTTAATCCAGAAGTGTTTTCCAGCTTCTCTTTCCCCATCTCAATTTTTTGGTCTGACATGATGATGGTATTTTTAAAAAATATAGGCTGTAGTTGTTTCGTAGACTACACTTCAATTTAGATTTGATTCATTGTTTCCTCATGATTAGATTGAGATTAAATGGTTTTTGGCAAGAACCCTACATTGGTGATGTTGGATACTTCTCTGTGCATCATATCAGAAGGCACATAATGTCAGTTTTCCTCATGATTGGACACCGAGCACTGTTCTATGTACTTTATGCATTTAATTTTTAAAACAAATTTATACTGTAGCTATTGCTTTTATTTATTATAGATTTCAGTACTTTATACAAAAGGACACTGAGAAATTAAGTATCTTGTCTGAGGTCCCAGAACAGTGTCCTGAACTCAGACAGTTGTTCCAGATTCTGCAAGATTAGCTAATAATTACATTGTGAAGAAAGAGACAACTGACTCTGTGATTCTTAGCTCATCACCTACCTCCAGGGTATATAAGTGGAGGCCAGAATATTGATCTTTAAGCCTTTAGTAAGAATCCTCTTAGAGTTGTCATTGTGCTGTGCAATCTACCTCTGCCACCCCTAGGTAAAAATGGCAGACAATCAGAGGATCACTTGGAGAATTTGATGTGGAGTTTGAGGGACAGAGTGACTGTTACTTGACTCATCTTGAGAAAGTCCAACAGTGAGTTTGACCCTGCCCTGGAGGCAGAATAATTGTAGGAGATAGGTGTGGTGTTCTGAGGGCCAGCTGTGGATAGGACAAATGTGTCTAAATTTCTTAAGGCACCTCATTCACAAGACCCATCAGAAGGGATGAATGAACCCCTGTGGAAAGCATCTGTGATGGACTGCCAGAAGTTAGAGACTGGGGGGTTAATTGTAAATGGGTTGCCCAGGAAGACCTAGCCCATGTTGGGGTCCCCACAGATGACAGCGCCAAAGAACTCATTAAGAAATAACATTTTTTTACATCCCTTATGCCTTTCCCTGCTTTCCAATCCTGGAAGAGCCATAAAAGAACATAGCAAAAGGGGATAAGTAGTACAGTTGGGAGGAATTGAAAAAAAGGATAAGCATGCCCTCTTTTTCCACTGTAGGCTTTATAACCTAGGTCAGGCAACGATCTAACTCTCAAAGCTTAATGAGAGGTTAAGCTTTGCTTTGTGCTATCTGAGAAATAAGGCTACTTGTTAATTGAAAATGAATGTGACAAATGGGATCTACTCAAGGTTTCATCTTGGAACAGAAAGGAACGAATAACAATGCAAGGTGAGAAAGTGGTCAGAAGGAACAGAATTTAGTTAATACGATAAATTGGCTACTGAAATATTGAACCGCTTTCTAGTATTTCTACACTGGGTTAGTTTTATACTGAACTCTGGGAAAGAACTGTTTTCTTGGTAACTGCCAGACTGTCTCTGACCTTTGACTCTAATTTAGGAAGAGTTATTAAAGTTCTTCTCTTGAGAAATTGTCCAGAGTTTTGTGCTGTGTTGCTTTTATGTGAACTGCAAATAGAACACTTCCAATTGTTGAGTGTAGTAGATTATCACTGGGAATGTGAATTTTTTTCAGTAATGCCACTGAAATTCTGCCCCTATAGTGGGAGCCAACTGCAGTTGTCCTGAGCATAGCTAAACATTTGTTTGGATATTGATTCTCCTCTAGCTGCTAAGCTCTGGAGTATGGATGACGACTGTCTGCTCTCCATCTCCCATCCCTAGTGCTATATTTTTAAACTCACTTGTACAGGCAGCACTCAGTGGCCAAGTTCTTTTTCTCTTTCAACTCAGTCCCATTCTGCTCCTCTTCTTCACCCTTTCTTCTTCTTTCCTTTCAACACTGTTCCTAAAATAAGCCAACTTCTAATCTTTGAACTTTACCTTCATTTCTAGCACTAAATTTTCTCTCTAAACACCTAGAGGTGTTTCTGATCAGAGCTGGGATGATCATCCACAGATAGGCTTTGCTCTTGCCCTCTAGTTCCATTAGTGTAAAGCTTCAATCAACCCCACTCCCACAGCTCCTAGTCCTCCCTCTAAGATCTTCCAATCCCCTCAATAAGCCAAAAATGCCTACTTCTGGGCCCCTCAAGGTACCAAAGGGAGAAAGGCTGTCACTTTGCTTACGTCAGCATTTTGTAGAAGGGTATAAAAGCAGAGCTGATCCACTTCTTCAAATGGGGAAGAGCATCCTCCTTTTACCATCATCACAAATAGATAAACGTTTCTCTTAAAGTGCCCCATGACAGCTGAGAATAGACTCAGACTGAGTAATGAGATATTTTTGTATATGCAACTTTAAAAAAATTCTTAAAGGTAGAAAAAAGAAACATTAATTGATTCATGTGTTTATGGAATTCCATATGAGGTGGCTAAAAAAGCTAAATAACTTAAATAAATAAAATAAAATTAAGTCAATGTATTTTGTTCCATTGAGTGATGATGACAAAGAACAAAATAGGCTGCCGTTTTAAAATAGGAAGAAAATTATATATTAGGTTGAACCATATGAAATTGCTCTTATTCAACAATTCTGGTAATATTGAACATTTTAACATAAGAAAATATCAATTGCATGTGGTTCAGCCTAATACTGATGTTTTAAAGACATTTCTGATAGTATTTCTCTGCTGTAAATACTTTTCTACTTAAATGATAATATATGTTAGTCAATTTTTCTTTTGTATTATTTTTAATTACTTCATAATGCCAGTAGAGTGCGTTGGCTGTGTGGTGATATCAATTAAAATTTAAGAATAAAAAAAAAGGCATATACACATCTGGTTATGATTTGCCTTTCTTGCTCTCCAGTTGCATAATTCAACTTGATGCGCATAATTCTCTTTCCTTTTATTCAATTCCATGTGGTGGCAGAACTACTACCAAAAGATGAATACTTTCAGTACCTTTCATATGAAAGCTGCCGCTTTCACATTCTGTCCTATTGATACTGCATTTTGGCAGTGGATAAAGGGACACAGTTAAAGTCTCTGCTCATAATTGGTTTTATCTGGGAAAGATTTTCTTTGAACTAGTGGCCACCCATGCTTTTATAATTATCAGAAATTAACTAGCTCAGCATTTCTTGTAAGAAATATTCACAATTCACTTCCTTGCTTTTGGAAGAAAAGAAAAGAAAGACAGAAAAGGAAAGAACTAAGGAGTATTAGAGAACTCCGTTTTGTTTGGGAATATTCCATGTGAGATTGCTCTAATGCAATGCTAAAACTGTGTGTTTCTTCATGGTACTCTTTGAAACACAATCTCAACCTTTTTTCAGAACCCTACAAAAAAAAAAAAAAGAAAACTTGAAAAGAATTTTTGTTTTCTGAAAAGTGAGACAATTTCAGTGTAAGTTTTCTGATATGACCTGACATTTACAAGTCACAAAGTATTAAATCTTTGTAGAATATGTATATGCATTTCAATATGATTTGAAAGGTAGAGCACTCCTAACTTCAAGTCTAAAACTGTTGGCAGAGATGTTTGTGTCAAGTGGACCAGGCATCCACACATAAGATGTAAACTTTGCAAGACCTTGCACAATCTCCAGACACACCATAAGTCAACCCTCTTTTCTCACTGGGCTTGGTTTTCCCACCCATGAGGGAATAGACAGTGGGAGCTTTGTTTGTAGTGTCTTTGTTTGCTTGCAGCCACTGGTAAAACAAACATTACTTCAGACTGAAGAAGTCCTTGGTTGAGCTTGGGGGCTCTGGGAGAACTTTTCCTATATCCCAACACAGATGACTTCATCAGGTTATCTGGTGTAGACTCGCCCCACTTAGGATAATTGGATTGCAGCATCCTGTGCATATCCATGTAGGACTGGATGTTTAGTGAGAGACTCCCCACCCATGGGAAGGGATCTGAAAGAGGAATATTGAAGAGAAACTTGCCCTCTTTCACTTTAGCCTGACTCTATCTGTCAATGAAGCTTCAAAGGCACTTCAGGGTCTTGTCAGGCAGCATTATAGTCTTAAAAATTTCTCATAATTTCATCTTTGGACAGTACTGATGAGCTCTGCACTGGACATAAGCCACTGAGGGCTGAAAATGTACACAGTGAATCCTTGAATTGAGAAAACAGTCTCATTTTGTGACCCAATCTACTAGAAACTTACGTGATTATAAAAACGTATTTGAAGAATTCTCAGTATTTTGCAATAGAAAGGGTCAGTTTTATAATTTTAAATTTGTTGAATGGTGAAGGCATTAATGCATGGAAGTGATTATTAATAAATAGAAAGGTTTGGTAGATAACATGCTTCTTGTTACTTCTGTTTCAAGATACGTTATATATAGAAGTGGAATTTAATATGTTTTATATCATAGATTTAAAGATTTTGTACCAAAAGATTTATACCGTCCCCTCATCTCCATCCCCCCCTCACATACCTCCCAGGAAATTAACTGTTTGAACTCATCGTTGGATAAGTTTACCACAGCCCACAGAATATTTCTGGAAAATTTAAATTCTTTTTTACTGTAGTCTCTGGAATGTAAATGCAAGCTTATTATAAGATAATTATGCAAGGAGTGGAAACCTTATATTCTATCCTCATAAATAAAGTGTAGACAGAAATAATAATCTTGGCTCAACTGGAACTCGAAGTTAGGAATGAAGGATTTGTTTGCCTTGTCTCCTCCCAAACCTCAAGTAATAAATCTCAAAAGCTTCAATATTGATTCAACAAAATGAATGGCTGAGTCATTTCAGAAGGACTCTGACAAGTGGACAAACGCTGCCATGGCGACATTTTGATATGCAGCGTGCTTACTGAGCCTGGCTGGCTTCCTCCCCCTGCCATTAAAGCAAAATGACAAACCATGGGAAGTGCCACACACAGCGTGCCTAAACCAGAGGCAACTGGGGGTGAAAAACAGATTTAATTAGCTGTTCTCAAAAAGTTAAAAACTGGATATACATTTATGTTTGATTTATGGAGGAATTCCTTTTAAAATGTGAGAAAAACTGCTCTGAGATGTGCTTCTTGCTAAGAAATAGAAACTATTATTGATTTTAAAGTCTCAGACAGCATTCTCTGTAAATGTTTTGTAAACATACTTTGTAGGATAAAATATTTTTAGCTTGGAAATACAGATTTAAAATATTTCCCATAGGACATAAATTCTACTCAATTCGTCTTTTACTGAATAATGTAATAAAGTATTACATGTGGCCAGTAAAAAAAAAATACAATATGTGTAATCACATACTATTACTGCTGCATATATTTAGATTTGTAAGGAAATAAATGTCGGAAAGTAATATGTATACTTGGATATTACTTGATCTTAATATTCATTTGATGGAGCTACTTAGGAATTACATATGTGTTCTTTTCTTTATTAGTATAAAGTATATCAAGATATATTAAAAGCAGGAGCAATTCACATCAATGAAAAGATGTTATTTTAAAACTTTTAGTGGGAAATTGCTATTATATATGCGATTATGTATTTGTTAACTTTATTTATGTATAATTAACACTGTAGTTTTTTCAATATTGAATTGGTTAACTGAGAAGAAAAACTGTCTCAATTGCAGCTAAAATACAACTAGAGTAGGCAATAACTGTTTTGTTTTATTTTGCTGTTTTTCTGTTTGTCAGTTATTAAAATCTCACTATGTAGCAGACTTCACTATCTCATTCAATCCACACACAAGCCTGAGCAATGAGTCCTAGGAGACTCTCTATTTTGCAGATAAGGAAACTAAAATGTGAAAGGTTAATAAATTAATCTAAGTTCACTCCACCTATCTACACTATATGATCTCTTGACATCATCTGGACCTAACCATATTAAATGTTTTTATTTTTGCTATTCTATGGCTTTAGAAATAGAAACCATACTAGTGACTGATATCACAAAGTCTCAGACATCATGTTCTATAAATAGACTTCTTGAAAAAAACATTTTTAACTTAGGAAGGTAAAGATTTAAAATATTTGCAGTAGAACATGAAGATAATACTTAATTTATCATTTGTATTTTACTTATTAATTTTAGAACATTTCATGAGAGTATAAAAATTTAGATAGCATTAGGAGATATACCTAATGTTAAATGAAGAGTTAATGGGTGCAGTGCACCAACATGGCACATGTATACATATGTAACAAACCTGCACATTGTGCACATGTACCCTAAAACTTAAAGTATAAAAATAAAAAAAAATTTAGAAAAGAGAAAGATAAACAAGTACAAAAAAAGTGAAGTATTAATTTCACATGAAGAAGCAAAGAGAAAAGCCTTTTTTGTTGGGTTTGTTTGTTATCACGCTTGTGGTTTCAGCTTCTAAAATGGCACCTCAACTTCTGTTGTCTGTGAGGATCTGGGTTGACTGCTGGCTTATCAAACATCTCAGTCTTAAAGAGGAACTACTTTTTGTATACTTCATCTATATAGGGAAGAAATCATTTACAGAGAAGATTTTGTCACATCACATTAAAGATTTCAAAATAGTCATAATAAATTATGATAAATTTGTCACCACTAGATAACCCACACATAGTCTAGATAAGATCCAAAGGCCTTGGCAAGACAGGAAAATGTGGAGACCAGACTCCTAGACGCACTTCAGATTCTTCCCTCTGGGTCACTCCATGAAGCTTTTTGAGAAGCAGCTTTCAGTGGGCCTACCTTGTCCAAATAGAACCAACCAAGGCTTGAGATGCTGCTCACACCTTAACTCCTTTCTGGGAAAGTGTGGTGTCATGTCTCCCTGGAGCTATTTTTGAGCTCTTGAAATCTTTCTGCTCTTCTGCTTTATACCTTCCAGAAGGACTTACTCCTCTCAATTTTCCAAAATCTTCCCCAGCTTTTCTTTTCTTTCTTTCTTTTTTTTTTAGTGGTGGTCAGGGAGTGGGGAGGAGATGGGATCTCGCTCTGTTGCCCAGGCTGGAGGGCAGTGGTGCTGTCATGACTCACTTCAACCTTTGCCTCCTGAGCTCAAGTGATCCTCCTATCTCAGCCACCCAAGCAGTTGGCACTATAGGCCAGCGCCACCACACTCTGCTAATTTTTTTTTTTTTTGAGATGGAGTCTCGCTCTGTCGCCCAGGCTGGAGTGCAGTGGCACCATCTCGGCTCACTGTAAGCTCCGCCTCCCGGGTTCACACCATTCTCCTGCCTGAGCCTGCCGAGTAGCTGGGACTACAGGCACTCGCCACCACGCCCAGCTAATTTTTTGTGTTTTTAGTAGAGACGGGGTTTCACTGTGTTAGCCAGGATGGTCTCGATCTCCTGACTTCGTGATCCGCCTGCCTCAGCCTCCCAAAGTGCTGGGATTACAGGTGTGAGCCGCCGCGCTGGGCTGCTAATTTAATTTTTTTTTTAGAGATAAAGTCTCACTGTATTGCCCAGGCTGGTCTCAAACTACGGGGCTCAAGTGATCCACCTGCCTCAGCTTTGCAGAGTGTTGGGATTACAGGCATTGGAGCCACCATGCCTGGACTTTCACCAGCTTTTCAATCTCCTCATAAAGTACATGTTTTCTTATGCAGTCCTCATTGGAGAGACAGCTCCAGGAGCACCAGTCACATAGATTTCATGTAAATGGTAATTACGTGAACAAGAGTTGCACAACTCCTGCACCCATGAAGGGACTGACATGGACAGGCATGGCCCTAAGCCATAAGGATGTCAAACCCCAAGGAAACTCAGTCCCCTTCCGTTAGCTGCCACACTGGAATTCATATGACTTTGATGTTAGACCCACAGTAAGGCTTTAATACTTCTTTAAAACAGCACTTCCAAATTGTATTTTGAATGTTAATTGGAATAAGACTGAAAAAAATGTTTCTATCTTGCTATTTTATAAATAAATTTGTGAAACAGCAAGTTAAACAAATTTAAACTGATTTTATGACAGTACTCATATTTTAATATTTTATTAAATTATTATTTTAATGATTTTCTAAGAATGTTTCCCACATTTGTGGTTTGAGGCTTTTGCCCTTTGCAAAATTGGGGAACTGAAATTTATAGTAACTTTTTTTTTTTTGAAGTGGAGTGTCGCTCTGTTGCCCAGGATGGAGTGCAGTGGCAAAATCTCAACTCACTGCAACTTCTGCCTCCAAGGTTCCAGCAATCCTCCTGCCTCAGCCTCCCGAATAGCTGGGACTACAGGGACATGCTACCACGCCCGCCTAATTTTTGTCTTTTTAATAGAGACAACGTTTTGCCATGTTGGCCAAACTGTTCTTGAACTCTTGACTTCAGGTGATCTGCCTGCCTCGGCCTCCCAAAGAGCTGGGATTACAGGTGTGAGCCACGGCGTCCCTCTCCATAGCAACATTTTTAGAAATAGTGAGACAACTGGTTTACTGAGGAATTTTAATTCAGTGGGGTTCAACATGAATCAGCATTGTGATCTCCCATATCTTCTGTAGGTGTCCTACATTCTTTCTCACTGGGTAGCAGATCCCTTGGGCAGATTTCACAACTGCAATATAATTTAAAGCACCAATCTCAAACCATATTTAAAGCTTTCTCCTCCAAGAGACCAATTTGAAGAGAGAGAGAGACAGAGAGTGAGAGAGAGAGAGAGACTGTGTATGGTGATTCTGGTTTTAGGAAGCCCCTTTTCTACCTGTTCCTTTTCAAAGCCTAACTCTTCTGGATACTGAGGGAAAATAGGAAAAGGACAAACATCCTTTTATTTAACATGCTTATAGGAACAGTGCCTTTCTTTAGGGTTGTGGTTGCTTCTCTTGATAACAGACTAGCTCCTGCCTGTGTGACCAGCATACTAACTTTCCCAAAAGCACACAGGTAAGTTCGGTTGGCTTCTGCGAGCCTAACCCATAGTATGGTTGCTTGAAGTATGTTCTTCCTTAACTACCTCCTTCAGCTATTGCCCAGAAGTACACAGTCTCTTATTCCTGGGATCTTCCTGCTGCATAGGCTGTTCTCTTGTCAGGTATTGGCAATATTTTGCTTATGAGCAGCTTACATAGTATCACAATTCATGGGAGATCTATACATCTTTGCACAAAGGTATGAGTGAGGCTTCTCCCTTGCAGTCCTTCTCTGGGTCCTACCATCTTTCTTTCTTAAATTCTCTTTCCTCTTAGTGGTAGGCTTAGGGCAGATCAATAAGGTATTGACATCCAATGAGAGAATGAGTTGCTGTTTCTCACTCTCTAATACAGTCTCCAATCTCTACCACAAATTTTCTGGACAAGAGAGAAAAGCCAGAACCTCCCCACTAGGCTAACTACTTATGACTGCCTCTTTCCTTTTTCCCTTCTTCTTGGGGTGACTATGGAGGCAGGTAATTGTCCTATATTCAATCCTTTCACCTCTAAGAAAGCTCTGGAAGTAGATTCTGTTCCGAATGGTTGGCAGATTTCTTTAGAAGTCATGTACTTGTTTCTTTGGTCCCAACCTGTACCTAATCACCAGTTCCAGGGGAGCAGAAGATGCCTCATTTAATGCATTGGTTTATAATATCATACAATGTTCATAGCAGTTGGACACGAAGTACCAGTGGGTGCAGATGCTCATTATACTTGTTTGAATTTTTTTAGAGGTTGAGAATGGGGAATTTGGCATAAGTCTGGTAAGAGTCAGAATTTTAGATCAGATTAAGCAAGAAGTTAACCAGAATCTGGATGTATAGCAGGTTTGAGAGTCTGAGAGTCAGGTGAAAATATTGATCAGAAACTAGGCAGAGAAAGAAGAAACAGAATATTACAAAAATGAAGACCTAGAACAGAACAGTGCAGATTTTTTTTTTTGCAAAGAATCAGAGATAGAATATATTTAACATGTAACACGCAGAGGAACCTTGTGGGACAAGCCAGCAAATTCTGCTACAGAAAGCTTCAGCCAGCAAATTCTGCTACAGAAAGCTTCTTGTGGGCTGGGACCATGTCCTTATTCACCTTTCCATCTCTGAGGCATTATGCAATATTGGCACTTAGTAGATGTTTGTTGAATGAGTTAGTCAATTTAGGACAGATACCAGTATCAAAAAAGGACTTGATAATTAAGTAATTTTTGCTTCTGCATAGAGTAGGCATTGGTACACTATGACCCTTTCTGACTGCCACTTTTTGTAGATATTTTATTAGCACACAGCCAGGCTCATATGTTTACCTATTGTTTTTGGATCCATTCACACTACAATGAATGACAAGGCTGAATAGTTGCCACAGAGACTATGTGGCCTATGAAACTGAACTGAAATACTTATTATCTGGCTCTTTATATTAAAGGTTTCCTGATGTCTAGGCATACAGGTTTAAAACTGTTTTTACATGTTTCCTGCTGACTCAGTTATAGCATGGCTAACCCAGGTCCTACAGGTAGAGGTGATTGGGAACACCTGGCTGTTCTGTCAGAAGTATAACAGTAAGTCCCAGAGCTGAAACAGGATGGGTGTGAGAGTTCTCTCTGAGCCAAGAGGGAAGTCATCTTGATTCAAACAAGTAATCTCTTCCCTCCTTTCTTTGAATCATCTTTCCTTATATATCTCTGATAGAACTGTTCACACTGTACTTAGAATTTATGTCTTCTTTCTCCTATTGAAGTGGACTAGATGAAGGCAGAGATCATATTTTGCTCATGTTCATATTCTGAGTGTCTAATGATGCTTCTGAATAAATAGGTACTCATTTAAAATATGCATTGCAGCTAGCTGGATTATGATACTATTGGAAGAAGAGGAAAAGCAAGGTCTGGCAGCTTAGAGGCAGCAGGTTATTAAGTATTATTAAGCAAGAGATCAATTAAATGAAAATCAGTTTGGAGCAGAGTGTCTGAGTGAGTGGCAGTACCAACACATAGCTCTGTGTGAAAGACTGTTTAGGAACTTCCTCAGACTTTTGGAGGCTTTTTATTTCCAAAAGCCCAAGAATATTCATCTTTTTCTGACACTGGAGCAGATTCTCAGGCTGAAAGTAGTCTTTGTTGTTAAACGGATTCTCTGATCCCTTTGGGACAGGAAATTCTTTCCTTTGACTTACAAATTCTGAATCAGGTTCTGACAATGGGGCCTCCTTCTCACTTATTTTCCCAATCATATCGCTCATTTAAAGAATGTTAAGAGCCTATTTATGTGCCTGACTCTGAGATAACTTGGATTTAAGTTCTGTTTGTTTTTTCATTATTGCTACAGTTTGGACATTTGACCCCTCCAAACCTCATGTTGAAGTCCAATCCCCAGTGTTGGAGTTGGGGCCTAATGGGAGGTATTTGGATCCACCAGGAGGTGGATCCTTCATGAATAGCTTGGTGCTGTCCATGAGTGAATTCTTGCTCTATTAGTTGCCGAGACAACTGGTTGTTAAAAAGAACCTGGTACTTCCCAGCTCTCTCTCTGGCTTCCTCTCTTGACATATGAGTTCTGCACCTGCCAGCTCTGCTTTACCTTCCACCATGAGTGGAAGCACCTGAAGCCCTCACCAGACGCAGATTCTGGTACCATGGTTCTTGTACAACCTGCAGAACTGTGAGCCAAATAAACCTCTTTTCTTTATTAATTATCCAGCCTCAGGTATTCCTTTAAAGCAATGCAAAAATGGATGAAGACAATTATAGAGTTCTAAAATGATAAACTAAAATCTATGGAGAATGTTACTACATATTAGTGTGCAAATGCAGTGGGGTTGGGGGACTGTTGATGTGACTGGGTGCCTTATTTTATCTTTAGATTCTAGGTGGGTCTGAACTTAAGAGTGGGGAGAGAAAGAGGAGTTCAAGTCCGTGGCTCCTGACAATCACTACTTTTTCTTTTCCTATCTGGGACCTAGGGCCCAAACAGAAAAAGCCTTTAAAGGCAGATTCGGGTACTCTCGAAGTATTATCCTACTTTTACTTTTGGGGGGTAAGAGAGAGTAGATATTGCCTGAACTTGATTTTGCTGCTTTGGTGAAATTCCTTTACGCATGCCTAAACTTAGATATGTGAAACCTAGGATATAAAAAAATACCATTTTCAAGGGAATATAAAGATCTTTTCACAAGATTTATAAGGTTTACTTAGTATGCAAGACTAATTAAATTGGAATAGGAAGGAAAATTGTATGACATCAGTACTTTTCTTATTGGGTTTAAGAAAACTAATTTATCTTTACTGTGTGAAATTTGGAGCTACTGGGTTGATTTTGATGAAGATTACTGTAGGAGAAAAGGCTTACATTCTACCATTGTTGCTTTTAGGCAGAATTGGGAATTGGGCTTTGTCTTTAGAACCTTAAGCTTTCCTTTCAACACCCTTATCTCTCAGTGGCACCTGACACCTCCCACCTCCAGGTGCCTAGTAATGCTTTTCCTTTCTTTTTTTCTTTCTTTCTTTTTAAATCAAAGCCTTTGAAGAACAAAGGATCTCTAAGATGTAATGATGGATGAGGTTTAAAGTATCTCTGATTCAGGCATATTTGTATTTTACATGGGATCAAGTCTTATGTTTTGTAAGGTTGGATTGTGAAATATAAAGAAATGAAAAATGGGCTCTGGGAAACTTTTTAATATGACAGGCTTTCAGGCCCTTCCTTCCTTTTCCTTCCTCCCTTCCTTCCATCCCTCCCTTCTTACCTCTTCCCTCCCTCCCTTCCTCCTTTCCTTCCTTCCTTCATGTACTGAGTTTCTACTATATCCCAGAGACTATTCTAGCTACTGAGTATAGAGCAGCAAATGACAGAGACATGCAAGCTACCCCCATGCAGCTTTCATTTTTATGGGGAGACAAAAACACCTAAATATCTTAATAAGTAAATGGGATATTTATTAGGGATAAGTTATAGAAATTACATAGAAGAGGGTAGTGGCTGAGAGTGGCGGTGAAAGTTATCAGGGCAGGTGCTTCCAAGGAAGAGATAGTTGAGCTACCCCTCAAATGAGGTCTATGATAGAAAGAGCCAGCCATATGAAGCTCTGCAGAAGCAGTGTGCCTGGCAGAGGAAAAAGCTTGTGCAAAGTCTTGGAGGCAGGAATGATTTTGCTGTGGTTGAGACAAAGAAAGAAGCGTCAGTGTGATAGGAATACAGTGAAATGGAGGGAAAGTGGTACTAGATGAGGCTGGAGAAGAAAAGAGAAATAGAATTATGTGAGGTCTCTTGGTCCATGTTAAGAAGTTTGGATTTAAGTTCAATGAGCATTTGTTTAATAATTTCAGCATTTGAGAGTATCTACACTACTTTGTCAAGTATTTGTACCACAATTACCAACTATGTTGTTTCTTGTGGTTTTATTCTTCAAAGCAAAGCTTTTTGGAGAAGCCTTCAGCAATCCATACACTCTCTTCTTCCTAGAGATTTCTAGCACTTGAGTGGCTTGTTTTTTGCATGGCATATTCTGCTTTTCGGTTGATTAACTTTCACCCCAGAAAGAGTGCAAATTAATAAACTTAGGGTGGTTTTAGAGATCACTGTTTTTCCCACAGTGCCTTACAGAGTCTTCTGCTTCCTAAACACTTAGTAATAATTGTTAATTACCTAGTTCCCTGAGGTAGATTGGGTGAGGGTGTAAATTTTCATTTACTCATCACAGTGCCTAGGGTAATGTCATACACAAAGTAAATATGCAAGCTGAGGAAGTCCAGTTGTGGGGAATGTGTTTAATCATGGGACTTGGTGAAACAAAAATTAAGATGGAATATTTGGTTGGTAGACGTTGACTTTGCCAGGGTATTTAGCCACAAATAAAGCCTTTACAAACGCTAATAAAACAACACTGTGGGTTGAATATACATTTTAGTAAGACGTTTTAAATAATCAGGAAGAAAACATTTTTCTGTTATTGTTTTCTGTTTTACATGTGACTACATGGATAATTGATTCACAGTTTTCACTTTAAGTTGCTTTGAAGTTACCGTTCATATATGGCAGGATTTAGTAAGCATGTCTGTCTGTGTCTACTCCGTTGATATGCTCGTGGATTTAAAGCCTCCAGACCCAGGTCCGACCTTTGTTGTTGAGCCTCACAGGAAAGCTGTTCAATCTCCTGGATCACCTAGGTTGCTATTCTCCCCACCTTTTGCAGCGCCTTGATGTGTCATTTGCATTCCCACACGGTTTCTGTATAAGAATCATTTAGTCTCAACAAACTTGCCGTTTGATACCCAGCTGTTTGTTGAGTATTGCAGCTTTCAGAGGAGGTGCTCAGCAACAGCTCATAATAACGCTAAATGAGTGCCCCTGGACGGCAGTATGTAACACAAAGTATCTAGTTATTCCTATTCCAATTAAGAAGAGTACTTGTGTGAGCTGCATTTAAAATGAGGAGGCTGAGAACCCATTTTTTTTTTCTATAAAAAGCGGTGAGTTGCTGTGGGAGTGCTAATCTTTCTCTTTGCTCCCAGTTTGAAACTTCCGTGATTCTAATAATGCTGCATTTGCTTTAAAAATCTCTGGTGCAGGCGGGGATGTGCACATTGCTGATGGTATGGTCTGACATTGAGCCTTTACCTTTGTGTACTGGGAAAGATAAGCAACATTTGCTGAGGGTTTACCACGTGCCAGGTGTACTGTAAAGAGTTGCACTTCACACAGTCTCATTCATCTACTCCTAACAGCCTTATGAGTAATTAATAATCCTATTTTATAAATGAGGAGACAGACAATTTATCCCAGATGTTGACCTAAATCCCTGCTTTGTAAGTTCAGTTGAGGGTAGATCCTTCCTTTCTAATATTTCATCAATTTATGCTCAAATTCTTATGGGGTAAACTTAGGGAGAGCTTCGGTAAACGTGAAACGAAACATTCTCTTAGGAACGAAAAAAGACTCAGTAAATGGGTTTTTTTTCCCTGAAAGAAAACTAGGAATTGCTTACAGTGGAGTACCCAGGGCAGTGTGCACCACTGTCCATGGTGAGTTCCTTGTGCCGAAGGGGGCAACTAGAAAGTTTAGCCAAAGGAGACGATTAGAAAGCACTGACCGCGCACTTACATTGGGACGCCCAGGCAGAGGCAAGACTCGCGCGCTCCTAAGCCGAGGCAGGTCAGCCTAGGCGCCTGGCTGCTGGAAGAGTCCATTAGGGATGGCCAAGGCAGGGTGTTCCCGACGCCAGAGCGCGGACCTGGCTGCCCGCTGCGGAGAGCAGAGTGCGCAGCCCGGGGCGGCCACCCCCGCTCCGCTGGTCAGGTGAGCGCTGCCCCGGGAGCCATGGGTCCTATTGGAGCAGAGCGAGGATGCAGAGGGAGGAGGCAAGGGAGGGGGAGAAAGGGGAGGAGGATGGAGCCCTCCTCCTGATCCTGTAGTGGTAGTAAGAATCAGCAGCGCGGGCAAGGAGTACGGACGGGAGTCAGAGGCAGAGCGAGGGTGTGTGGAGGGCCGGCGGGGACCGCCGGGAGCGCGCGGATGTCGGTGTTCCTGGGGCCAGGTAGGCTATGGCTGAGGGGTGGTGCTGCGAGCATCGCTGAGCCCCAGGGGAGCGCCTCAGCATCAGCACCTGTTGCTGCAGGTGGGCGGCGAGGGCGGCGCGGAGGGCGGGCCACAGCCGGGCCCAGGGAGGCTGGGCGCGCACCCGGCGCCGCGGCCTGCGGGTAATGGGGCATAGCTGCCCGCGTCGGTTCTGTCCAAGGCTGCGGTTTTGCAGGGAGCGTTAGGTTCCTGCACCCCCTACCCGCCCTTTCCAAAGATGTCTGATCTCAAAGAAGGTGAGAAGTGAATGAGCAGAGTGAAGAGTTTATTTTCTTCTTTTTCTGCCTGTTTGAAACCGGAACCCTACCTAGCTTTGATTTTAAAGTCTTGCTGAAAAATAACAGACCAAGAACGGTGCGCCATAGGTAATAATTGATAATGGGAAGGGTGAGATAAACTTAAGGAGACTTGTTTGTGTTCCAAAATAACCACTGCGTCGAAGAATTTCAGTGAAATATATTGATTTTAGGGAGCTTGGGATTAACATGGAGCTATAGAATAATATGTATATGTATATATATTTAAAAACTTACAAATTTTTAATTTTAAAAACTGTCTCAAAATTGATTTTTTTCTTAAAATCAAGAAATTATAGCAGTGTTCGTCAGGGGAAAATTGATTTTAAGGTGTGTTAACTTATCCTATGTAACTTGTTTTAAACCAACTTTTCCCACTTCATGAAATCCACAGCCTTTAAAATGTGTGTAATGTATTTACTAGTATGCTATACACTCTTTTAGAAACTGATATCAAATTTTAAAGATGCATAATTACTGAGAATTAGGATGAAAGTCAAAAATATACCTTAACTCATACAGCATGATTAGAAATTCTTACTGAAGTTATGATTACTTTAAATTACTAAAGTGTTTTTTCTCCCTTTGTGTGTCATTTATCAAAATAATTAGATCAAACAACAACAACAACAAAAACCCCCAAAAGATCATAAGGAAGAGAAAAAATGATATCTTAGGCAGGATACAAATGAGCACCAATAATTTATTCTGGGTTAATTTCATAGAGTAAGTGGCGAACTATTCCGCCTATATAATTTGAGAAAAATGTAGGTTACAGGGAGATGTCAAATAGACTCTGAACTGTGTTATAATAAAATATATTAAATATATGTGATTAGGTATAATTTTCTGGCTCTGCCATTAACACACAATGACTTCGGACATTCACCCATCCTTCCAGGCATTAGTTTCTTCATTTATAAAATAAAGTAATTGGACTAGGTGATTGCAAAGGTTTATTTCAGCTAAAAATATTATATCTCTCAAATTATTACTTTTAGAAGAAGTAACCAAGATACACAGACTTTAAAAATTTACAACTGAAGTACGACTGAATCCTATCTCCATTTTCTCATTTCCATGATGAATAAATATAGCAGTCACTCCTTAATGAATGCCTGCTATGTAGTGAATTCTTAGAAACCCTTTACATAGGTTATCTTATTTAACACAATACCACCATAAATTGAATAGTAGTATATCCCAATTTATAGATAATGATACTGAAGAATGAAAAGTTTAAGCTCCTTGCCCAGAGTTCCAGTTTATAAGAACTGGGTCAAATATTTTTTCCAAATGCTCTTAGGACCTATACTATACTGAATGGGATGATTAAAAGCTAAAATTGCCTATAAACTGAAGTAATCTTGGACTACTATAAGAGTCTATAATGGGGCAAAGGTAAATTATGTAACACTGAGTCTTCATACCATTAAATATATAAGTGCTGTATCAGTCTCCATTTATTATATCTTAAAAAGTTACATATTTATGCTGTATATTTATTAATTGAATGCCAGTTGTATTCTCAGAAAGTGATCATATGAGATATATTTGTAACACAAATGGTTTTATGGTAATAAATATAACTGCTAGAAAAAATGTGAGAGGGCAGAAGCTAGTATTAAGCAAATGCTGGTATTAAGTATGTCAGATGTCTTTCTACTTGAAGGTACTCATGCTTGAGACAAAAATGCTTACACCCAAGGGAAAAGGGTGTTCAGAGTAGAATTAGCTGTGACTAAACTCTTTTGTTCATATCCTATGATGAATCATAATAGTATGTCACATTTATTGAATATACGTTGTATGCCAGGAATTCTCTTAAGCCCTTTATTAGTATAATTTTATATTGGATCATGAATTAAATTGTATTATCCTGATTTGCAAATGAAGAAACCGAGGCAGAGAGATCTATGCCCTGGGAGGACCCACAAAAAAATACTTTTTATCTTAGATTAAATGTGTGATCGTTCATTGTTCTGAAATTCTTAGGCTGTGAATGTAACATGAAATCTTGAAGCACTGGAAGGAGACTTGGAGCCAAACTAAACCAACCTCTTTATTTTATATTTGAGGTAAAAGAGACCTAGAACAGTTAAGAGACGCACTTAAGGCCACATATTTTAGTCACCTATACATTCTCATAAACTATTAGGTAAGAAGTATCCTAATGGGTAAACTTGGTTATTAATTGTTTGATTTATTGTCACGCAAACAAATGCCACCTCATGCCGTTTCTTATATTGCTGCCCTACTTTTATTTAAAATTTCAAGGTTGCCCCAATTAGGATGCAAAATCCTTGAAGACAGTGATTGTATTATATATTTCTCTTATATAGTATCTATAGGGTTCAGCATAGTGGTTAACCTATTGAATAAGTTGCTTTGTTGCCTGTTTGCCTTTGATAAGTCATTATTTTATGCACCAGGTCTGAAATCTACACAGTGGAAGCACAATGCCATCACCATTTTTCACTTCATGTAGAGGGCAACTAGACAATTTATGATGCTTACAAAGTGTAATGAGCTTCTTAGATAATTATTTAATTTGGTTATAAAATGCAGTGTGTTACCATGGAGAGATTTGGATGTGTATTTCCCTGATTTTGGGGGGACAAATTGCATAGCTAAGTATCACACACAGTTCAATTTACCTCCCCACCACTCTGTTCTTTTGATTTGGAAATAACTTTTTTTTCTGAGTGCAAAGATAATGCAAAGTCATGCAGGAAATTCAGACAGTAAAGAAATAATGAAAAAATCACCAGAACCTCCCCAGTCTAAAGGTTTTGGTGAACAGCCAGCCAGAGAGGTCTTTCTTCTCTTAACTCCTGTCGAATCAGGGTGAGAGCTGAATTATTTATTGAAACCATTTACAGTAAAGTTCTATTTAGTTTTAGTATTCCATTACTCCTGGGCAGTTCAGACTTTATGTAAATAAAGATATTTGTTGAGCAATGAAGATAAACATACTACTAATAAACTAGAGTCTACTCCATGTAGAATGGAGTAGTACAGAAAGTTGATTTCCTCACATCGTATGCCTAATTTTTTCCTTTCACAAGGTAGGTTTGGGAGCACAGGGAGCATCTTTTGCATGCATGGAGGGTTCTCCAATATGCCAGGATCTTAGGCCACACATGAAGCCACAGCACCCCAGCTCTGTTGCCCTGAGTGAGGTGTGGCAGAGGAGGAGAAGGGTGGAGCTGAGGCACAAGCGGCTGTGGTAATACAAAGGCTGTGTTTTCCGATTCTACTGTGACACACTATACACTTAAAAATGTACCAGACCAAGTCCCTCCCCGAGCTGCTGGGCAGGTGGTCATGGGGCCCTTTTCTGGTGCAGTCACGCGTAAGTCTGGCTTTACCTCAAAGCCAGGGCAAGATGCTGATAGGGCATTTCTCATTCATTTATTCAGGATTCTGAAAACCTAGAATGGACCCTCTTTTATATTAAAGGGAAACACTGGCTGCTGGAATCATTGTCCATAAATGAGTCTTGAAGTAATACTCACAAAATTATTAAGTATAAAGAAAAGTTGGGGCATCTCTTTGAGAGAGACAATAGCTCTTTCTGTATGCATTCGGATGTAATTACATTGAAAATATTTGTTTTGAAGATTATGTTTTCTGGTTATTTTAATTTCATAAATCTATTTGTTATTCAAAACTTCTTTCCCTAGGCATATTTTCTTTGTTTATACTATACATTTGAGCAGAGAGATTTTTCATGCTTCACTTTATTAGGGGCTTAACATGGCTTTAATCCAACCATCTGTTCGCATCTTGGCACATCAGCATGTCTGAGGTGCTGGTAGGGGCCAAATAAATTTCCCACATTTTAAAGGTTAGGGAAAGAGCTACCTTTATGAATAGATTTCAAATGATTCTCAGCAAGACAATGGTATAGAAGTGGAGTAAAAATGCATTTCATTCTCTGAAGCACAAGGTCCCCTGTCTGTCTTCAGTTTTGCTGAAAGGCAATTAGCATTTCAACTAGCCAATTTGGTTACATGCAACGAAGTACTTGGGTTTATAATTTGCTGCTCTGTCTGAGGCTGTTGAGTGCTAGGTCTTATGTAATCCTTTCCAAGTAGCCTTCTCTCCAGCATAGTTATTGTTGCTGGTCTTAAATAACTAATCAACAGAGAGTTTTCCTTGCCTTCAACTGTAGGGTGCCATAGGGCAAGGAAAATGAAATACCAAGCAAATAAGGGGATGACTGTAATTATAAATAGTCATTATTGAAATGTGGCACAGGTTGAAAGACATACAATAGCTTCAAATAAAATGCAACTCCAAAAAGTCATTGTGTGCACTGTTAATGGTTTCTCATGCAGTATGCACAATAAGCATAGGGCATACATGCTGGGATTAATTCAGTTAACATGACTCAAAATTAACAAAGAAGGTGCAATTCCTTTATGCCAGAAAGAATTTTGTTGGGAATAGGTTTAAAAGAGAAAAGATTCTAAAGTGTTACAACAAATGAATAAGTGCTCTGAGGCATATTGTGGAAATAAAGGTTTTGTACTGTGTGCTAATTGAAAATAAGATTTTTGTCAGCTTCTTTAGTCGTGAATTTTGACAATTAGGTAGTATTAATATACTTCATGTATACACTCATATTTCTCTGAAGGAGCCACTGTATGGTATGGTAATCCTTTTGTTAGGATAATTAGGATGATATTTTCCTGTAATCCATGTCATGGACCAGCAATTCAGTGTAGCTCATCTTTTGGTGTAACACTGTTTTTGCATAGATGTACTTGTGTAATTATTTGGAGGTAAAATAGTACATTTTTCATTCTTCAAGTAATGTTTAACTGAAAGAAGGCATAATAGAAAGAAGTGTTTTAGATATGTCTTACAAGTGATCAGTATAATTTTGAGAACATATGTGAAAGAATTGATTTTCATTTATATTTCCAATCTGCGATTATAAAGCTTTTGTTACGGTTATAGTTAGAATCATTAGTTTTATTTAACTAATTTCAACAGTGTTGATGAGCAGGAATGAAATGAAGAGAGCTTGTTCCTTCTCTGGCAGACTAGTAAGCTAAGGTTGGAGAGTGTTCTGGAAAAAGTGGGACTTGATTGGGACTTTGAAAAATGGTGGAAGAGAGGGAGTGGAAAAAGGTAGAGAGGACTGGGACTAGCTTAGATTAAAGGTGCAGAAGCATGAATAATACAAGTGTTTTGTCCCAGACACGTATTAGATTAACCTGGCTGGAAATGTTGAAAGAAGAGAAAGAGATAGCTGGAAGTGCAGAGGTTTGATTGTTTTTTAAATTGATAGATAATTCACATATGAAAAACAATCACCTTTCAAAGTACACATTTCCATGGCGTTTAATATATATATATATTTTTTTTTTTTTTTTTTTGAGACGGAGTCTCGCTCTGTCGCCCAGGCTGGAGTGCAGTGGCGCGATCTCGGCTCACTGCAAGCTCCGCCTCCCGGGTTCACGCCATTCTCCTGCCTCAGCCTCCCGAGTAGCTGGGACTACAGGCGCCCGCCACTGCGCCCGGCTAATTTTTTGTATTTTTAGTAGAGACGGGGTTTCACCGTGTTAGCCAGGATGGTCTCGATCTCCTGACCTCGTGATCCGCCCGCCTCGGCCTCCCAAAGTGCTGGGATTACAGGCGTGAGCCACCGCGCCCGGCCGGCGTTTAATATATTTAAAAAGTTGTGGCCTGGGCGTGGTGGCTCACTCCCGTAATCCCAACACTTTGAAAGGCCAAGGTGGGCGGGTCACCTGAGGTCAGGAGTTTGAGACCAGCCTGACCAACATGGTGAAACCCTGTCTATACTAAAAATCCAAAAAAATTAGCTGGGCGTGTTGGCGGGCGCCTGTATTGCCAACTACTTGGGAGGCTGAGTCAAGAGAATCGTTTGAACGCGGGAGACAGAGGTTGCAGTGAGCTGAAATCCCGCCACTGCACTCCAGCCTGGGCAACAAGAGCAAAACTCCATCTCAAAAAAAAAGTTGTGCAACCATCACCACTGTCTATTCCAGAACATTTTCATCACCTCCAAAAGAAGCTCTCTACCCATTAGCTTTTGCTCTCTATCCCACCTTTCTCCACTGCCTTCCAATTCCTGGAAACCAGTAATCTATTTTCTATCTCTATAGATGTGCCTATTCTGGGCATTTTGTATAAATGGAATCATACAATATGTGGCCTTTTGTGTGTACTTTCACTTAGCATGATGTTTTAAAGATTCATCCATGTTGTACCATGTAGCAATACTTCAATCCTTTTGTAAATGCCAAATAATATTCCAGAGTATGGATATGCCACCTTTCATTTATGCATTTATAAATAGATGGGTGTTTGCATTGGTTTTACTTTTTGACTATTATAAATAATGCTGCTTTAAGCATTTGTATACAAGTTTTTTTTGTGCTGACATAAGTTTTTTGTTCTCGTAGTGGCCCATCTAGGAGTGGAATTGCTAGGTCATATTGTCACCCTGTGCTTCATTTTTTGAAGAATTTCCAGCTGTTTTCTAAAGTGTGTTTACCATTGTATATGCCCACCAGCAATGTATGAGAGTTTTGATTTCTCTCTGTCTTTTTATGTTAACCATCCTATTCGGTGTGAAGTGGTATCTCATTCGGGTTTTGATTTGTATTTCCTTAATGACTAATGATGTTGAGAACCTTTTCATATGCTTGTTGGTCATTTGTGTATCTCCTTTGGAGAAATTTCTATTCAGGTTTTTTGCCCATTTTAAAAATAGGATTTTGTTTTTGTTTTTGTTTTTTATTGAGTCATAAGAGTTCTTCGCATACTCTAGATACTAATCCCTTATCAGATATATCATTTGCAATTTTTTTTCATTGTGTGGGTTGTCTTTTTACTTTCTTGATGGTGTCCTGTGAAGCAAAATGTCTTTAATTTTGTTGAATTAATTTATTTAACTTTCCTTTGGTTGCTTATACTTTTGGTGTCACAGCTAAACAACTGTTGCCTGATACAAGGTCACAAAAATTTATACCCATGCTTTCATCTAAGAGTTTTATAGTTTAAGCTTTTACATTTAGGTTTTTATTCCATTTTGTGTTAATTTTTAATATGATATAAGCTTCCTTCATTTGCACATAGATATCCAATTATCCAGGTTCCATTTGCTGAATAAATCATTCTTTTTTCATTGAATTGGCTAGGCTTCACTGTCAAAAATTAATTGACTATAAATGTATGGTTTTATTTCTGGACTCAACTCTATTTTGTTGATCTAGTTTTCTGCCAGTACCTCACAGTCTTGATTATTTTACATATTTTGTTAAATTTCTTCCTAAGCATTTTATTGTTTTATTAATTATGTTGTAAATGCAATTATTTTCTTAATTTTATTTTTGAATTCTTCATTACTAATGTATAGAAATAACAATTGATTCTTGTATATTGATTTTGTATTCTGTAATCTTGCTGAACTCTTTTATTTTTTTATGTATGGTGTTTTTAGGATTTTCTATATACAATATCATGTCATCTGTAGATATAGTTTAATTTATCTTTTCCAAGGATACGTTTTATTTTTTTTCTTGCCTAATTGTCCTGCCTAGAACTTCCAGTAAAGTGCTGAATAGAAATAATGAGAGCTGAGATCCTTGTCTTGTCCTGTGATCTTAGAGAGAAAACTTTTGGTCTTTCAGCATTAAGTATGATGTGGATACCCATTATAGATACCCTTTGTCAGATTGGAGAATTATCCCTTTATTCCTAATTTGTATAATAAAAAGATGTTGATTTTTTTCAAGTGCTTTTTTTGTGTCTTTTGAGATGATCATGTGATTCCCTCTGCTTTTTTTCTATTAATTTGGTACATTGCATTAATTGGTTCTTGATGGTGAACCAATGTAGCATTCTTGGATAGATCTAATTTGGTTATATAGTGTATCATTTGTTTTATATGTTACTGGATTTGGTTTGCTAGTATTTTGTTAAGAGTTTTTGTGTCAATATTCATAAGGGATACTTGTCTTAGTTTTTTTCTTGGTTCTTTTTTTCCATAATGTCTTTGTCTGGTTTTAGTATCAGGGTAATACTGGCCTTATAAAATGGTTTGGGAAGTCTTGTGTTTTATATATATATTTTTAAGTTTGTGAAGGGTTGATGTTAATTATTCCTTAAACATTTGGTAGAATTCACCAGTGAAACCATCTGGTCCTGGACTTTCTTCATGGTAAGTTTTGCAATTACTAATTCAATCTATTTAATTGTTGTGGGCATATTCAGATTTTTAATTTCTTTTTGAGTCAATTTTGGATGTTCGTATCTTCCTAGGGATTTGTTTACTTCTAGGTTATCTAGTTTGTTGGCATGTAATTGTTCATGGTCATGCTTTATATACTCAGTTTTATTTCTGTAAAGTTGGTAGCAATGACCCCTTTTGAATTTCTCATTTTAGTAATTCAAATCTTCTTCCCTTTTTTCTTAATCTAGCCAAAGTTTTGTCAGTTTTGTTATCTTTTTTTTTTTTTTGACAGAATCTTGGTCTGTTACCCCGGCGGGAGTGGGAGTGCAGTGGTGCGATCTTGTCTCACTGCAACCTCCGCCTCCTGGGTTCAAGCGATTCTCCTGCCTCAGCCTCCTGAGTAGCTGGGATTACAGGCACCTGCCACCACGCCCAGCTAATTTTTGTATTTTTAGTAGGACAGAGTTTCACCATGTTGGCCAGCTGGTCTCAAACTCCTGACCTCAAGTGATCCACCCGCCTCGGCCTCCCAAAGTATTGGGATTACAGGCATGAGCCACCATGCCCAGTCCCTTTTATTATCTTTTCAAAGAACCAACTTTTACTTTTGTTGATTTTCTCTGTTGTATTTCTATTCTATATTTTATTTGTTCCCACTCAAATATTTTTTCTTTGTTTCCTTCTGCTTGATTTGGGTTTAGTTTGCCTGTTTTTTTCTACTTTCTTAAGGTGGCAGTTTAGGTTCTTTATTTGAGATCTTTCCTTTTTTTAATATATGCATTTGTGCCTGTAAATTCTCTTCCAAGCATTGCTTTAGGTGCATCCCATAAGTTTTGGTATGCTCTGATTTTATTTTCATTAATCTCAAATTATTTTCTAATTTACATGTGCTCTCTTTTTTGATCCTTTGGTCATTTAGGAGTGTGCTGTTTAATTTCAACATGTTTGTACATTTTGCACTTTTTTCTGTTATTAATTTCTAATCTCATTCTCTTATGGTTGGAGAATATACTTTGTATGATTAAAGTTCTTTAAATTTATTGAGACTTGGTTTAGGACCTTACATATTATCTCTTCTGGAGACTGCTTCATGTGTACTTGATAAGATATGTATTCTGCTGTTGTGGGGTGAAGTGTTCTATAGATGTGTATTAGGTCTAGTTAGTTTACAGTATTTTTTAACTCTTCCCTTTTCTTGTTAATCTTTTATTTAGTCGTTATATTCAGTATTGAACATGGGGTACTAAAGTCACTAACTATAATTGTTAAATTGTCTGTTTTTCCCCTCAATTTGGTCAGTTTTTAATTCATGTGTTTTGGGATTGGCTTTTTATGTGCCTGTAGGTTTACAATTGTTACATCTTTCTGATAAATTGAGCCCTTTATCTTTATAAAATATCCTTCTTTGTCTGTAGCAACATTTTCTGTCCTAATGTCTATTTTGTCCAATATTAATGTCTTAGTCCATTTTCTGAATACCAGAGATTGGGTAGTTTATAAGCAATAGAAGTTTATTTGACTTACAGTTTTGGAGGCTGGAAAGTCCAAGAACTTGGCTCTGGTATCTGGCAAGGGCTTTTGTGCTATGTTATTCCAGGATGGAAAGTTAGAGGGCAAACAAGCATGTGAGACAGAGAGGGGAAATTAGACCAAACTTATCCTTTTATCAGGAGGCCACTCCTGTGATGACTAACCCACCCCCCTAATAGCAGTATTGTTCCATTCATGAGGGCAAAGCCTTCATAATGTAATCACCTCTTAAAGGTCCTACCTCTCAACACCGTTAGTTACAATGGCAATTAAATTTCAGTATGAGTTTTGGAGAGGTCATTCAGACCATAGTAATGAATATAGTCACTTCAGCTTTCTTTTGGTTTCTGTTTGCATGATATATATATATATATATATATATATATATATATTTTTTTTTTTTTTTTTTTTTTTTTTTTCTCATTCTTAGTTTCAACCTGTTTGTGGCTTTGAGTTTAAAGTGAATCACTTATAAAGAGCATATAGTTAGGTCATTTTTTCCAATTCATTCTAATGACTTCTGCCTTTTAATTGGAGTATTTAATCCAGTAATATTTAATGTAATTACTGATAAGGTAGGATTGATGTCTACCATTTTGCTATTTGTTTTTTGAGTCTATGTCCCTTTTCATCCCCTGTTCCTCTTTTACTGCCTTCTTTTATTTTACATAGATATTTTCTAGTGTATCATTTTAATTTTGTGGTTGTTTCTTTTATTATATTCTTTTCATTAATTTTATTATTGGTTACCCTGGGGATTACATTTAATATCCTAACCTATAATAATCTAGCTCAGATTAATAACAACTTAATTTCAATAGCGTGCAATAATTTTGCTCCTATATAGTTTCATTTCTGCCCCTGCTTTGTGCTGTTATTGTGGTACAAATTCCTTTTTTATACAGTATATACTCTTTAGCACAAATCTATTATTATTGCTTTATGTAGTTGTCTTTTCAATCAGAGAGGCTAAAAGTAGTTATAATAAAAGTACATTTATGCCATCTTTTATATTTATCTGTCATGTGACCTTTTCTGGCACTTTACATTTTTTTCTGTGGATTCAAGTTACTCTCTAATGTTCTTTCATTTCACCCTGAAAGACTCCTTTTAGTATTTCTGGAAAGGAAAGTTGCTAACCACATAGTGTCTCACTTTTTGTTTATCCAGGAAAGTCTTAATTTCTTCTTAATTTTGGAATGACAATTTTGTTGCATATAGTATCCTTGGTTTATTGTCTTTCAGCACTTTGAATACATCACTGCCTTCTAGCCTCCTAGGCTAGAGGAGAAATCAGATATTAATCAGGATATCACTTTTATGTGATAATTTTCTTCTTCCTTCCTCTTTCGTGATTCTCTCTTTGTCTTTTGCTTTGGCAGTTTCGTATATGTCTACATGTGGATCTCTTTGTGTTTATTTTACTTAGAGTTTACTGAGCTTCTTAGATATGTAGATTAATGTTTTTAAATCAGATTTGGGAAGCCTTCAGCCATTATTTCTTCAGCCATATTTCTTTAACTACTTTCTGTTGTTAGTCTTCTTCTGGGAGTTCCACTAGGTCTATGTTGGTATATTTTGTGGAGTCCTATAGGACTCTGAGGCTCTGTTCATCTTTCTTCCTTATTTTGTCTTTTTGTTCCTCAGCCTGGGTAATTTCAGTTACTTTCATGTTCACTGATTCACTCTTCTGGCTGCTTAAATCAGCTGTTGAGCCCCTCTGTGAATTTCTCAATGTAGTTATTTTACTTCTCAACTCCAGATTTCTGTTTTTTTTTTTTAAACTATCTTTTTGATATCATTCATTTGATGAGAAATCATTTTTATACTTTTTATTGTTTATATAGACATGATTTCCCTTAGTTCTTTGAATATATTTAAAACAGTTGATACAAAGTCTTTGTCTAGTAAGTCTAACATCTGGTATGTTCTCCAGGGACAGTATTTATCGATTACTTTTTTCCTGTGTATTGCTCATATTTTCTTGTTTCTTTCCATGCTTGGTATTTTTCTTTTTTAAGAAACTGTATGGCTTTGAAGTTCAGATTCTCCCTCTTCCTAGGGTTTGTTGTTGTCCCTGATTTTATTGTTGTTTGTTTAGTGAATTTTCTGAAGTCTTTTTAAAGTATGTACTCTTTGTTATGTGTGGCCATTGCAGTCTCTGCTTGGTTAGCTTAGTGGTCAGCTAATGAGTGGACAGAGATTTTCTTAAATCCTGGGAAACAGTAAGTCTCCCAGTTTTTGCTTGGGAGCTCCATGTGCGTGTTGAAGAATACCTTTAGCATTCAGCCAGAAAATTTTCAACTCTGCCTAACCTTCACTTCCTCTTTGCACACAGCCTCAAAACCAGCCAGAGGTGAGAATGTAGGGCTTTTACAGGTTTTTCATGAACATGTGCACAGCCTTATACTTGTGTGTCATCTTCTAGGTTCTAGGAATATGTCAGAAATTTTTAAATTTGCAATAAATGTCTCATTGCCCAGTCTTTCCTTTTAAGCTTTTAGTTAGCTTATTGTTTTCCCAGCTGTTATCTATTACCTCTGGCAGCTATTATGTTACATAATTGTCTATAAACATTTTTGACAAGTGCCTCTAAGGAAAAGGCTTTCAAATACTGGGCAAACTTTGAGTCAGGTCAAATAAAGATACTGTGGTGAGTGAAGTCTTCAAGAAACCACTAGATAGATCAAACAATGACAACTCTGTGAATTGGGCTTTGATGGCTTTCCTACCCCATTCTGTTCCCTTCAGTGGCTGCCAGGATGCTGGTTTTAACTGTTATTGCAGGCTGTTAGTTTTTAAGGTGACTTTGGAGGCTGGGAGAGTTGTGTGGGAATAGGTCAAGTTTAAATGTAATAAAGTTCACTGATTTCCTGGAGATTCAGCTGTATTTCTTTAATAAATGCTCCTTGGAATCCTGCAAGCCCTTGGTTAATTTCTGAAGTTCTGCAAGCATTGATTCTGACAGTTTTTGCTAGTTTTCTCATTATTTTTATGGAGCAGAGGATTTTAGGAGGTCCTTACCCTGACATTTGCACTGGTTTGGATTTTCAGAGCAAACATTAGGGCTTCCCCCTACCTCTTGTTAGATATTATGGAATCACTGTCAGTTTTTGAACTACAGACTGATATAAAAATAGTCTTTTGAAGACTATTCTGTTGGTAATGTAGAGAAGGCTGATTGGAATGGGCAGAAGAGAGCAAATTAATAAAGGCAATAACAGTGGATGTATGTTGATAAGCTCTTGTTTTGGGTAGCAGCAAAACAATGTTAAATGAAGGATAAAGGAGGCATTTAAAGAGGGTGTCAGAAGTACTTGGTGACCTTTTGCATGACTTCTGTATTTAAGCAGGTTTGATGTCAATAATATAAAATAAAATAAAGTAAAATAAAATAAAAAAGTTCTTCTGAAGAATATGTCATCCATCCAGTCATCCATTCATTCACCAAATACATGTGAATGAACTGGTACGAAAGCAGAAACAAAGACCAATGGAACAAAATAGAAAACAGAATAGAAATAAAACTGCACACCTACAACCATCTTATCTTTGACAAGGCCAACAAAAACAAGCAATGGGGAAAAGACTGTCTATTCAATAAATGGTGTTGGTATAAATGTGCACACATGCTCACACACGCACACGCACGTGCACACACACATGAATTAACAATATCTAACAAATTATGCTTTGATGGATGTAGAGAAAAAAGAGTGAATAATTTTCAAAGGAAAAAAGTTGAGACCGTAGGATACGTGTTTTGGGACTAGCCTTGGAAAAGGGAAGGATCTCCTGTACTGTGAGAGAGGAGAAAATAAAGTAATTGGGGGAAATTGGAATTAGAATGGACTGGATAGGAGGAAGGATACGTCAGAGAATGTATTCATGCCCTTCCTCACCTACCAGGAAGGGTGGATAAAACAGACAGGTGGCATTTAAAAGGAATTTGTCCCCATTCTTCTGTATATTTTGTTAAACTCAGGATCAAGTTATGGGGCAAATGCATCACAGATGGCTTGAAGGTTTCCCTTAGATCTCTCCGTGTATAGATCTACTAATTAAGTAAGAAATTTAAGGCCACCAGATTGTGAGGAAACACAATAAAGTAATGCTTTCCAATTCAGTTTTTCCCTTCAGCACTGGGATGTAGCTTTTCCTAAGAAAGGAAGTATGGTATTGGTTGGCATAATGATTGAGCTCTCCAGGATATTGCTAAAATCAGAAATGTGGTTGAATATTATCTGATTCCCACTGAATCCATTCCCTGATGGCTTCTGTCTTTTTGGTGGAGACTTATCTAAATTACAGTCATGCATTGCTTAATGATGAGGATATCTTCTGAGAAATGTGTTTTTAGGTGATTTTGTCATCATGCAAACATCATAGAGTGTACTTACACAAACCTAGATGGTATAATGAACCACACAGCTGGGCTATATGTATATCCTATGGCTCCTAGGCTAAAAACCTGTACAGCATGCTACTGTATTGAATACTGTAGGTAATTATAACACCAAGGTAAGAATTTGTGTATCTACACATACCTAAACCTAGAAAAGGTGTAGTAAAAATACAATATTATAACCTTATGGACCACCATCATATACCTGGTCCATCACTGACTGAAACATCATTATGCAGTCTATGACTGTATGTTGGATGAACTGCCAAAATGAGAAATAAATTATTGTTTTCTTCTGAGACAAATTATTGAAGTTTTAAAATGTTGTTTTTTTAAATGAGAGAAATTTAATAAATCACTTGATTGAGAACTGGGCATTAAGTAAAAATTAAGTCCCATTTACCAAAGCATAATTTGTCAGATATTGTTCATTCATGTGTGTGTGTGCACGTGTGCATGTGAGCATGTGTGCATGTTTATACCAACACCATTTATTGAATAGAGAGTCTTTTCCCCATTGCTTGTTTTTGTTGGCCTTGTCAAAGATCAGATGGTTGTAGGTATGCAGCTTTATTTCTATTCTGTTTTCTATTTTGTTCCATTGGTCTTTGTTTCTGCTTTTGTACCAGTAACAAGCTGTTTTGGTTACTGTGGCTTTATAGTATAGTTTGACATCTGGTAGTGTGATGCCTCCAGCATTGCTCTTTATGCTTGGGATTGCTTTGTCTATTGAGGCTCTTTTTCGGTTCCATGTTAATTTCAGAATAGTTTTTTTTTTTTAAATTCTGTGAAGAATGATGTTGGTAGTTTGATAGGAATCGCATTGAATCTGTAAATTGCTTTGGTCAGTATGGATGTTTTTATGATATTGTTTCTTTCAATCCATAAGAATAGAATATTTTTTCATTTGTGTCATCTGATTTCTTTCAGTAATGTTTTGTAGTTCCCCTTATAGAGATCTTTCACCTCCTTGGTTAGCTGTATTCTTAGGTATTTCATTTTCTTTGTGGCTATTATAGGTGGGATTCTGTTCTTGATTTAACTTTCAGCCTGAACTTTGTGTATAGAAATGCTACTGATTTTTGTACATTGATTTTGTATCCTGAAAGTTTACTAAAATTGTTTATCAATTCTAGGAGCCTTTTTGTGGAGTCTTTAGGATTTTCTAGATATAGAATCATATCGGGTTGACGCCAGCTTCATAGAGTGAGTTAGGGAGAAGCCCATTCTCCTAGATTTTTGGAATTAGTTTCAGTGGGATTGATATCAGTTCCTTGTACGTCTGGTAGAGTTCAGCTGTGAATCCATCTGGTCCAGGATATGTTTTGGTTGTTAGGTTCCTTATCACTAATTTAATTTCAGAAGTTGATAGTGGTCTGTTCAGGGTTTCAAGCTCTTCCTGATTCAGTCTTGGGAGATTTTGTGCTTGCAGGTGTGTATCCTTTTCCTCTAGATTTTCTAATTTGAGTGCATAGAGTTGTTCATACTAGGCTCTGAGGATTTTTTATATTTCTCTGGAATCAGTTGTAATATAACTTTTGTCATTTCAGATTGTGCTTATTTGGATCTTCTCTTTCTGTTTCTTTGTTAATCTAGCCAGGGGTTTATCAATTTTATTTATTTTTTTTCAAAGATCCAATTTTTGGTTTCATTAATCTTTTGAATGAATTTTGCATCTTGATTTTGTTAAGTTCTTTAATTTTAGTTATCTCTTTTCTGTGGGTAGCTTTGGGATTGGTTTGTTCTTTTTTTCCTAGTTTTTTTTAGGTGCAAAGTTATATTGTTGATTTGAGACCTTTCTAACTTTTTTTTTACTTTTAAAAAAGACATTTTATTTTATTTTATTTTGTGTTATGTTATTTTATTCTTTGAGACAGAGTCTCACTCTGTCACCCAGGCTGGAGTGCAGTGGCATGATCACAGCTCACTGCAACCTTTGCCTCCCGGATTCAAGCAATTCTCATGACTCAGCCTCCTCAGTAGCTGGGATTACAGGTGTATGCATCACGCCCAGCTAATTTTTGTATTTTTAGTAGAGATGGGGTTTCACCGTATTGGCCAGGCTGGTAAAAAGGGATATTTTAATACAAAGGAAGTAGTCAAAGAATTCTGAGCTCAGATTGCAGGATGGCCCTTTTCAAACAGAGGCAGCTGGCCGCTTACCTTGCCTTCATTTTCCAGGGGTTTCTCCTCCCATGAATGGACAGCGAAAGCTTCATCCTAGACCAATCCTGTCTCCACGATGGCTTTGGGGACCTGCCTTGCCCCAGGGTTTTGTCTACAGGCCTGGCAACTTTGACCATGAGAGGCAGACTCCCTCTAACTGGAGGCTGACAAGTGGAAACTGTTCGGATTATTCCCAGAGGGCTTACATGGGGGCGGGTCATCCTGGTGAATTCTCAGGCATGATCCAAATCTGCCTCCTAGGCACAGAACACCATTCTCCAGGGTCGCAGTGCTGCCTGGACTCCAGGAAGCCAGTCTCTGCTGCTCCTGGTGTGCCCCTAGGGGTGGCCGAGGTTAGTAAGGCCTCCCCTCACTGGAGCAGAAGACAAAGTGATTTATCTTGATCCCTGTGAAATGGTTGCACAACCCCAAGAGCCTGAGACTCATCAAAGAATGTCCCTCTTTATTTCCTGTTCATTACATTGCCATGCGCAATTCAGACAAGACATCCCAGCACTGCTTCCAGTCCTCTGCTTAAGGGTGGGATTCTATTATTATTATTATACTTTAAGTTCTAGGGTACATGTGCACAATGTGCAGGTTTGTTACATAGGTATACATGTGTCATGTTGGTTTGCTGCACCCATCAACCCGTCATTTACATTAGGTGTTTCTCCTAATGCTATCCCTCCCCCAGCCCCCCGCCCCACGACAAGCCCCAGTGTGTGATGTTCCCCGCTGTGTGTCCAGGTGTTCTCATTGTTCAGTTCCCACCTATGAGTGAGAACATGTGGTGTTTGGTTTTCTGTTGTTGTGATAGTTTGCTGAGAATGATGGTTTCCAGCTTCATCCATATCCCTGCAAAGGACATGAACTCATCCTTTTTTATGGCTGCATACTATTCCATGGTGTATATGTGCCACATTTTCTTAATCCAGTCTATCACTGATGGACATTTGGGTTGGTTCCAAGTTTTTGCTATTGTGAATAGTGCCGCAACAAAAATACGTGTGCATGTGTCTTTATAGTAGCATGATTTATAATCCTTTGGGTATATACCCACTAATGGGATCACTGGGTCAAATGGTATTTCTTGTTCTAGATGCTTGAGGAATCGCCACATTGTCTTCCACAATGGTTGAATTAATTTACAGTCCCACTGACCAACAGTCTGAAAGCGTTCCTATTTCTTCACATCCTCTCCAGCATCTGTTTCCTGACTTATTAATGATTGCCATTCTGACTGGCATGAGATTGTATCTCATTGTGGTTTTGATTTGCATTTCTCTGATGACCAGTGATGATGAGCATTTTTTCATGTGTCTGTTGGCTGCATCAGTGACTTCTTTTGAAAAGTGTCTGTTCATATCCTTTTGACCACTTTTTGATGGGGTTGTTTGTTTTTTTTCTTGTGAATTTGTTTAAGTTCTTTGTAGATTCTGGATATTAGCCATTTGTCAGATGGGTAGATTGCAAAAATTTTCTCTCATTCTGTAGGTTGCCTATTCATGCTGATGGTAGTTTCTTTTGCTGTGCAGAAGCTCTTTAGTTTAATTAGATCCCATTTGTCAATTTTGGCTTCTGTTGCCATTGCTTTTGGTGTTTTAGTCATGAAGCCCTTGCCCATGCCTATGTCCTGAATGGTATGCTGAAGTTTTCTTCTAGGGTTTTTATGGTTTTAGGTCAAACATTTAAGTCTTTAATCCATCTTGAATAATTTTTGTATAAGGTACAAGGAAGGGATCCATTTTTCAGCTTTCTACATATGGCTAGCCAGTTTTCCCAGCCCCATTTATTAGATAAAGAATCCTTTCCCCATTTCTTGTTTTTGTCAGGTTTGTCAAAGATTAGATGGTTGCAGATGTGTGGTGTTATTTCTGAGGCCTCTTTTCTGTGCCATTGATCTATGTATCTGTTTTGGTACCAGTACCATGCTGTTTTGGTTACTGTAGCCTTGTAGTATAGTTTGAAGTCAGGTAGTGTGTTGCCTCCAGCTTTGTTGTTTTTGCTTAGGATTGTCTTGACAATGTGGGCTCTTTTTTGGTTCCATATGAAGTTTAAAGTAGTTTTTTCCAATTCTGTGAAGAAAGTCAGTGGTAGCTTGATGGGGATAACATTGAATCTATAAATTACTTTGGGCATTATGGCCATTTTCATGTTATTGATTCTTCCTATCCATGAGCATGGAAGGTTCTTCCATTAGTTTGTGTCCTCTTTTATTTCGTTGAGCAGTCCTTTGTAGTTCTCCTTGAAGAGATCCTTCATATCCTTTGTAAGTTGGATTCCTAGGTATTTTATTCTCTTTGTAGTAACTGTGAATGGGAATTCACTCATGATTTGGCTCTCTGTCTATTATTGGTGTATGGAATGCTTGTGATTTTTGCACACGGATTTTGTATCCTGAGACTTTGCTGAAGTTGCTTATCAGCTTAAGGAAATTTTGGGCTGGGATGATGGGGTTTTCTAAATATACAATCATGTCATCTGCAAACAGAGACAATTTGACTTCCTCTTTTCCTGATTGAATACCTTGTATTTCTTTATCTTGCCTGATTGCCCTGGCCAGAACTTCCAACACTATGTTGAATAGAAGTGGTGAGAGGGGCATCCTTGTCTTGTGCTGGTTTTCAAAGGGAATGCTTCCAGTTTTTGCCCATTCAGTATGATATTGGCTGTGGGTTTGTCATAAATAGCTCTTATTATTTTGAGATACATTCCATCAATACCTAGTTTATTGAGAGTTTTTAGCATGAAGTGCTGTTGAATTTTGTTGAAGGCCTTTTCTGCATCTATTGAGATAATCATGTGGTTTTTGTCGTTGGTTCTGTTTGTGTGATGGATTACGTTTATTGATTTGTGTATATTGAACCAGCCTTGCATCCCAGGGATGAAGCCGACTTGATTGTGGTGGATAAGATTTTTGATGTGCTGCTGGATTCCGTTTGCCAGTATTTTACTGAGGATTTTTGCATCGATGTTCATCAGGGATATTGGTCTAAAATTCTCTTTTTTTGTTGTGTCTCTGCCAGGCTTTGGTATCAGGATGATGCTGGCCTCATAAAATGAGTTAGGGAGAATTCCCTCTTTTTCTGTTGATTGGAATAGTTCCAGAAGGAATGGTACCAGTTCCTCTTTGTACTTCTGGTAGAATTCGGCTGTGAATCCGTCTGGTCGTGGACTTTTTTGGTTGGTAGGCTATTAATTATTGCCATAATTTCAGAGCCTGTTATTGGTCTATTCAGAGATTCAACTTCTTCCTGGTGTAGTCTTGGGAGGTTGTATGTGTCCAGGAATTTATCCATTTCTTCTAGATTTTCTAGTTTATTTGTGTAGAGGTGTTTATAGTATTCTCTGATGGTAGTTTGTATTTCTGTGGGATCGGTGGTGATATATCATTTTTTATTGAGTCTATTTGATTCTTCTCTCTTTTCTTCTTTATTAGTCTTGCTAGCGGTCTACCTATTCTGTTGATCTTTTCAAAAAACCAGCTCCTGGATTCATTGATTTTTTTGAAGGGTGTTTTGTGTCTCTGTCTCCTTCAGTTCTGCTCTGATCTTAGTTATTTCTTGCCTTCTGCTAGCTTTTGAATGTGTTTGCTCTTGCTTCTCTAGTTCTTTTAATTGTGATGTTACGGTGCCGATTTTAGATCTTCCCTGCTTTCTCTTGTGGGCATTTAGTGCTATAAATTTCCCTCTACACACTGCTTTACGTATGTCCCAGAGATTCTGGTATGTTGTGTCTTTGTTCTCATTGGTTTCAAAGAACATCTTTATTTCTGCCTTCATTTTGTTATTTACCCAGTAGTCATTCAGGAGCAGGTTGTTCAGTTTCCATGTAGTTGTGTGGTTTTGAGTGAGTTTCTTAATCCCAAGTTCTAATTTGATTGCACTGTGGTCTGAGAGACAGTTTGTTGTGATTTCTGTTCTTTTACATTTGCTGAGGAGTGCTTTGGTTCCAATTATGTGGTCAATTTTAGAATAAGTGTGATGTGGTGCTGAGAAGAATGTATATTCTGTTGATTTGGGGTGGAGAGTTCTGTAGATGTCTATTAGGTCCACTTGGTGCAGAGCTGAGTTCATGTCCTGGATATCCTTGTTAACCTTCTGTCTCGTTGATCTGTCTAATGTTGACAGTGGGGTGTTAAAGTCTCCCATTATTATTGTGTGGGAGTCTAAGTCTCTTTGTAGGTCTCTAAGGACTTGCTTTATGAATCCGGGTGCTCCTGTATTGGGTGCAGATATATTTAGTATAGTTAGTTCTTCTTGTTGAATTGATCCCTTTACCATTATGTAATGGCCTTCTTTGTCTCTTTTGATCTTTCTTTATTGGTTTAAAGTCTGTTTTATCAGAGACTAGGATTGCAACCCCTGCTTTTTTTTTGCTTTCCATTTGCTTGGTAGATCTTCCTCCGTCCCTTTATTTTGAGCCTATGTGCATCTTTGCACATGAGATGGGTCTCCTGAAAAGAGCACACTGATGAGTCTTGACTCTTTATTCAATTTGCTAGTCTGTATCTTTTAATTGGGGCATTTAACCCATTTACATTTAAGGTTAATATTGTTATGTGTGAATTTGATCCTGTCATTATGATGTTAACTAGTTATTTTGCCCATTAATTGATGCAGTTTCTTCACAGCATTGATGGCCTTTACAATTTGGCATGTGATTGCAGTGGCTGGTACCGATTGTTCCTTTCCATGTTTAGTGGTTACTTCAGGAGCTCTTGTAAGGCAGGCCTGGTGGTGACAAAATCTCTCAGCATTTGCTTGTCTGTAAAACTTCCTGTTGGGGAAGTTCTCCTGGATAATATCCTGAAGAGTGTTTTCCAGCTTGGTTCCATTCTCCCTGTCACTTTCAGGCACACTAATCAAACGTAGATTTGGTCTTTTCACATAGTCCCATATTTTTTGAAGGCTTTGCTCGTTTTATTTTACTCTTTTTTCTCTAACCTTGTCTTCCCGCTTTCTCCTTCACTTAGTTTGGCTGGATATGAGATTCTGGGTTGAAAATTCATTTCTTTAAGAATGTTGAATATTGGCTCCCACTCTCTTCTGGCTTGTAGGGTTTCTGCCGAGAGATCCGCTGTTAGTCCGATGGACTTCCCTTTGTGGGTAACCCAACCTTTCTCTCTGGCTGCCCTTAACATTTTTTCCTTCATTTCATCCTTGGTGAATCTGACAGTTATGTGTGTTGGGGTTGCTCTTCTGGAGGAGTATCTTTGTGGTGTTCTCTGTGTTTCCTGTTGGGGAAGTTCTCCTGGATAATATCCTGAAGAGTGTTTTCCAGCTTGGTTCCATTCTCCCTGTCACTTTCAGGCACACCAATCAAACGTAGATTTGGTCTTTTCACATAGTCCCATATTTTTTGAAGGCTTTGTTCGTTTTATTTTACTCTTTTTTCTCTAACCTTGTCTTCCCACTTTATTTCATTAATTTGATCTTCAATCACTGTTATCCTTTCTTCCCCTTGATCGAATTGGCTATTGAAGCTTGTGCATGCGTCACGAAGTTCTTGTGCCATGTTTTTCAGCTCCATCAGGTCATTTAAAGTCTCCTCTACACTGTTTATTCTAGTTAGCCATTCGTCTAACCTTTTTTCAAGTTTTTTTAGCTTCCTTGCGATAGGTTAGAACATGCTCATTTAGCTCGGAGAAGTTTGTTATTACCGACCTTCTGAAGCCTACTTCTGTCACCTTGTCAAAGTCATTCTCCGTCCAGCTTTGTTCCGTTGCTGGTGAGGAGCTGTGATCCTTTGGAGGAGAAGAGGTGCTCTAGTTTTTAGAATTTTCAGCTTTTCTGCTCTGATTTCTCCCCATCTTTGTGGTTTTATCCACCTTTGGTCTTTGATGTTGGTGACCTACAGATGGGGTTTTGGTGTGGATGTCATTTTTGTTGATGTAGATGCTATTCCTTTCTGTTTGTGAGTTTTCCTTCTAACAGTCAAGTCCCTCATCTGCAGGTCAATTGGAGTTTGCTGGAGGTCCACTCCAGACCCTGTTTGCCTGGGCATCACCAGTGAAATATTGTTGCCTGATCCTTCCTCTGGAAGCTTTGTCCCAGAGGGGCACCTGCCTGTATGAGGTGTCTGTCGGCCCCTACTGGGAGGTGTCTCCCAGTTAGGCCACACGGGGCTCTGGCACCCACTTAAGGAGGCAGTTTGTCCATTCTCAGAGCTCAAATGCCGTGCTGGGTGAACCACTGCTCTCTTCAGAGCTGTCAGACAGGGCTCTAACTTCTTGATAAAGGTGTTTTAAGGCTATTAAGTTTCTTCTTAACACTGCTTTGGCTGTATCCCAGAGATTTTGGTAAATTGTGTCTCTACTCTCATTAGTTTCAAATAATTTTTACATTTCTATTTTAATTTCAATGTTCACCCAGGAGTTATTTAGGAGTCAGTTGTTTAATTTCCATGTATTGTGTAATTTGGAGCGGTTTTGTTGGTATTGCTTTTCATTTTTATTGCACTGTGGTCCAAGAGTGTACTTGGTATATGATTTCAGTTGTTTTTTATTTATTGAGGCTTGCTTTATGACCAAGCATGTGTTTTTTTTTTTTTTTTGGAATGTGTTCTGTATGCAGATGAGAAGATGTATATTCTGTGGTCGTTGGGTGGAGTGTTCTGTAGATGTATATTAGGTCTAATTGCTCAAGTGTTAAGCTTAATTCCAGAATTTCTTTGTTAATTTTTTGCCTCAATGATCTGTCTAACACTGTCAGTGGAATGTTGAAATCTCCCACTATTTTTGTATGGTTGTGTAAAGTCTTTTCTTAGGCCAAGAAGATATTGTTTTATAAATCTGGGTGCTCTAGAGTTGGGTGTGTATATATTTAGGATAGCCAGAGCTTCTTGTCAGATTGTACCCTTTATCATTCTGTAATACCTTTCATTGTCCTTCTTAACTTTTATTGGTTTAAAGTCTGTTTTATTTGATATAAGAATAGTGACTCCTGGTCTTTTTAATTTTCTGTTATTGATAAATCCTACTCCACTCTTTTACTTTGATAAATTTTTTTTAGAGATGGGATCTCACTCTGTCACCCAGGCTGGAGTATAGTGGTATCATCATTGCTCACTGCAGCCTTGAGCTCCTGGATTCAAGAGATTATCCTGCCTCATTCTCCCAAGTAGCTGGGACTATCAGTGTGCACCACCATGCCCAGCTAATTAAAAAACAAAACATTATTGTAAGATATGGGGTCTTTCTGTGTTGCCCAGGCTTGTCTCAAACTTGTCTTCAAGTGATCCTCCTGCTTTAGCTTCCCAAGTGGCTGAGATCACAGGTGCAACCCTCCATGCCTGGCTTAGTTTAAAATGAATTCACTTCGTATCTTAAATTTTCTAATATAAATAAATGTACAATCATAAATACATCTGTATTAGGTATTTTCATTGGGTAGTGTTAAATTGAAAACATCACTATAATAAATATATTTCTAAAACTTATCTAGGATTTATTTTTCTACCAAAAGTATAAATAATTGGAAACAATCTTTGAGTATTATTGTAAAGCAATTTGATCATTGTGTGGCAGTTTTATATAGTATTTAAGTAGTAAAGTCGGGAAACTTTGGAAATTGTTCATGCTTTCAGGTGACTAGAATGCCCTAGCTTTTATAAGTCAGTAGCATACCTAGTAGTTGAGACCTTAGTATAATATATGATTAATAGACTTTCCTGAAGCTTTTTAGCTTCCGAGAGACTTTACTTCATCTCATTTTTCATTTCTCAGTAATATTCATGAGTGATATATATTAGGAATTGGTCATTAATTCATTCTTTTTTTACTGAAGCACTCTAACATGAGTTTGAAAAAAACATTGAGCTGGCAATTTCTGCTTTCACATTTTATTACAGCCTCAAAACTTGTTTTATAATGATTTTTAGTGATATTTTAACATCTTTATGATTTCATGGCACCATACATTTGGAAATTCCATTCCTACTCTTCTAGCTACCAAAAACTTTTCCCTCCCTCCCCTGGCACACTTCTTTCAGCATAGGAGATGAATGTAACCATAGAATTAGGGCCCCATACTTGCATTTTTTCATTACTTTTGTTCTGTTGAGGTATCATGATAGCCACAAAAAACATCTAGGCCTACAACTAATTACCTTGCAAATGGTAAATCACTGTGGGTTTGAAATTGTATGTAATATGACCATTCTTATTACATAGTTAATCACTAGGTGTAAGGGCTTTTCTATTCATTAATGTTGGAAATAACAGACTGTGCTGCCCATAAGAGACTGAGTTGGATTATAGAGAGAAGAGAGTAAAATGTGCACGTTTCATTTGATGGTATTTTTAATACGATAGGTGCTATAGATATAGTGATTTTGAAAATGATCTTTCCCATATGACTATTAGTAAGATTTCTTTGTTAATAGAAAATGTATATTTAGAATTTTGTTAAGAGTATAAGAGCTGGACTCTGATGGCTTGGGTTTATATCCTGGCCATTTCCAAAGTGTAATTTGGCGAATATATTTAATCCCTCTGTAACTCAGGTTCCTCATTTCACAATGGGCATACTAATAGTACCTATATTATACAATATTTTAGATGGTTATTGGGAGGATTAACTGAGTTTCATGTAAAGCAGTTAAAACAGCATGTAGTGCTTGGTAAAGTTAGCTGCTATTAGCTAATACTGTGACACGTAAAATTCAAATTATTAATGATTCGGGTGCCTAAATGAAACTTTTTTTTCCTTAGCTCCTTTTTCTTCTTCTAGAATCCCGAAGAATGTTTAAATTTACCTTGAAGCTGCTAGAGCTCAAGCTTCAGCCCCTAAGCATTTTGTTTTTAATTTTTACTTTTCTTCTTGAAGCGGAGTCCCAAATTATATGTATGTGCTTTAGGCATAACCAACTTCTCTAAAAATTAATGACTTAAAATAACCACTTGTTTTGCTCATGAATCTGTAATTTGGGTAGAGCTTGGTGGGGACCACTTGTCTCTGCTGTATACAGGGTTCTTGGGGCAGCCCACCTGGGGCTGGAGTATCCTTTTCCAAGATGTCTTACTCAAGATGGCTGGCAAATTGATGCTGGCTGTTAGTTCTCCATGTGAGCCACTCTGTGGGGTGACTTTAGCTTCCTCACAGCATCATGACTAGGTGTCCTGAGCAGTCATTGAGCAAGTGGTGCAAGAGACCAGAAGTGGATGCTGCCAGTTTTTAAAGACTTGGGACTGAAAGCCAGCCTGTCTTTGCTAGAAGTAAATACAGTATTAAGTTCTACTATATTTTATTGTTCAAGTGGCCATAGAACCCACGTTTAAGAAGAGGGGATAAACAACCCACCTTTTAATGGAGAAGTGTCAAAAAATTTTGGTTCCATATTATAAAACCACCACACTGCATTTGCTATTAATTAAAATAATAACAAGCAAGGTAGCTATTATGGACTACTTTGTTGAAGTGTACCCATTTGACAGAGGATGTGGTTTCTGGGTTACTTTAAAAAAGGAAAAAGCCACTTTGACCTCCTGATGATGATATATTCATACTTTTGTTTTACACTGGAATTTCAACTGAAGCACCAACAAATATATCAGATGTCAAAATGAGTTGTGAGAAATTATCCAAACACAAAATTTCAAAGAATATAACAAAATGAGTTATATAACTTTTGAATTCTCTCACTTACATTGAGTGTATAAAAAATTCAAGGGTAAAATCTGAGAGAGAATTTTCTGAGGAGAATTTTCTGAGGAGAATTTATATTGGGAGAACTGTGGGGGTGCATCCCCTGTCCCTCTGCCCCTCATGTGTATCTGTGCATCATCGTAAGTGTGGTGAGAAGGGCTTCAACAAAACCCCTTGGAGAGTATGATTTTTTGCTTCAAGACAATGACAAAAGTCCTGATCTATTACTGAGGGAATTAAGGAGGCCTAGGGTTGTAGGATGGAGGGCGGAGTCTGGATAAACTGTATCACCTCCCACAGCAGGGCAAATGGAAGTGAGCCCCAGGGCTGGCTGTGAAACCTGTGGTAAAGACGTTAGCCTGAGGTCATTTTAAAGGGATCCTGCCCAGAGGGCAGCCTGTCAGGGGAAGGGGAGCCCAGGAGTACATTGCTATGGGCATATTGTCAGAAGCCATATTGTCAGAAGCTGAAATTGAAGGAGATCTAGATTAGTCAGCTGAAAGAGAAGCAGTCCCGCATGTTAGGATTGAAGTTGATGGGTCCTGCAGTGAGACCTCTGTAGAGACTTAAAATTCCACTACAATGATTCAGCCAAGGACATAGAGAACGAAGCCATCTTATGGCAGTCCAGTCAAATAAGAACCTTTCTAACCTCTTCTCAGTTCTGATCTTATTCAACCCTCACCTTGCTCTGTCCTTAGTGGGGATGGGAAACCAGTTGGCCAGCCGAGTGAGGAAGAAAAGTATCGACAGGCAAAAAGAAAAGATGGACAATAACTCTTTCTCCAGCTGTAAGCCACCAGCTTGCAGCAGTCCCTAGTTGGGGCAGAAGAAGAGTTAATGTTAAATTTAAGTTAGAGCTTTGATTATTATGTGGAGTGTGCCATTAAATATTTTTATTATAAAAGCTTTCCAACATGCACAAAAGTAGAATAGTAAAATGAGCCCCTTTTTACCTCCGACTTAGAATTAGCAATTATCAAGATTTTGCCATACTTGTTTCATGTATGTCTACATAATATAGAGTGCAGCTATAAAATGTATGGATATTTTCCTACATAACTACAGTGCTTTTATCCTACCTAGCAAAACTAACAATAATTCCATAGTATTGTTCAGTAATAAGTCCACCTTCAAATTTCCTTGATTGTCTTGAAAATGTCTTTTTATAGTTAATTTATTCTAATTAAAATATAACTAAGTTGTAGATAGTTTATCTGACAGTAGTCTTCTTGGCATCTCCTACCCACCAACCAACAGTGATTTGTTGAAGAAATGTGGCAATTTGTCCCATAGAATGTCCATGTTCTGAATTTGTTTGTTCTCTTTTTTGGATTACTTCACATGTTTCTTTAGCCCCCATTTTTCCTGTAAACTGGAAGTTAGCTCTAAAGCCCCAATTAGATTTAGGTTCTGCTTTTTGGGCAAGAATGCTACATCGGTATGGTGCTGTGAATTTCATATTGCATCACATCAGGAGGCACACCGTGTCTGGCTCTATCACTTTAGTGACATTGGGATTCAGCAGTGGGTTCAGGTGGTGACAGCTCAGTCCTTTCATTGTTAAGTTTCCCATTATCTTTGTATCTAATTGTTTCATCCATGCATGCTGGCTTCCTTGATTATTTTACTAGGAGTTACAAATAGGTGCTTTTCTAACTCTGTCATTCTTACCTCATTAGCTGGAATTTTTCTGTAAGGAAAAACTTTTTCCTTAACAACTTGGCTATTTGGTTACCTGGAAAAGGAGTTTACCTAGGATAGACAGGATAAATGTTTAATTCTTTCCCTTTAAATATTAATTTCAGAGTAAGTAGTTTGTGCCCTAGTTACCTTCAGTGGTGGCCATTGAACTGACTTTCTTTCCATCTTTCTTTTCATCCCTATGAACATATGGATTTATATATTCCACGTGTTTCAAACAATCACATTCATTATCCCTTTAGATACTCAAAAATTTTAATCTTTAGCCAATGGGAACGCTTTCATGTTTCTCTTGTGACGTGACCCCATTACTCTTACCTGGTTTCCTTGCTCAAGATGTTCAGGTTTATTTTGCATATTTCTTTCCCCAGATACCAGTCATTCCTCTAAAAAGTGCTGCTTCCTTGTAGTGGGGAATGATGGTTAGAGGCAAAAGTCTGGGCCCTTATGATCCTTATTGTTATTGAGTTGTCATTACTTGGAAGTCTTTTTAGTGGACAGAGCCAGGAAATATGTATTTTTTACAAAGAAAAAAGTCATGACGTGATACTGATATTTCCAGTTTAAATTTAACCTTACAGAAACTTTACATGATTTCTTTGATGATTTTATTGTCATTTCTCTTTTCTGTGTCTTTTTTTTTTTTTTTTTTTTAAATGGAGTCTTGCCCTGTCATCCAGGCTGGAGTGCAGTGGTGCAATCTTCGCTCACTGCAACCTCTGCCTCCCAGGTTCAAGCTATTCCTCCTGCTTCAGCTTCCTGAGAAGCTGATACTACAGGTGCGCGCCACCATGCCCAGCTAATTTTTTGTATTTTTAGTAGAGATGAGGTTTCACCATGTTGGCCAGGCTGGACTTAAAACTCCTGACCTCAAGTGATCCTCCCGCCTCAGCCTTCCAAAGTGCTGGGATTACAGGCATGAGCCACTGTGCCCAGCGTGTTTTCTCTTAAGTAATTATTATTTGCTCTATCCTACAAAATGTATAGTTTCAAAATATATATCTACAGTATATAAAACGTGGTTTCAAAATGTATATTCTATAGCATAAACATTTAATTTCACATAATTATACTGATATTACCACTGAGAATATTTAATGAAATATAAGCTTTCTTTACAGCTGTATTTGTCCTTAGAATTTATTCTACTAGGTATAGACAGTGAAAATACTGTATTCTATAGCCACTAGAAAAATTTATGTCTGTGCTATTATCACTACTTTATATTCAGTTGCTTTATTTCAGTTATTTGCCAGTATATATGCATTTACTTATAAAAGAAACGTTGGTGACTTAAAACCTAGTAGAAATGATTATCTATAGAGGGAGGAAAAGAATGGGTAAATGGAAGTGAGCATTCTCTGAATATACTTTCTTATATAGGTTTAACTTTGGATTCATATAAATGTGTTATATATTTAGAAAGTAAAAATGAGATTAAAAAATCTTCACCTGGAGATGCCAAATAGTCTCATGGAGATAATGAGTTTGGAATTTAGGGGAAGTTAGGAAATTTTTGGAAGTTAGGCTGGAGATGTAAATTTGGGAGACGGTATTTTAAATTACAGGTGAGTGAATGAGACCAGAGTGAGTCTGAATGTGGATGAAGCAGTCTGAGCCTGAGAAGTGATACGTCCCATGACGTAGAGGTCAGAAAGAAGGCAAGGGTTCAGCAAAGGAGGCAGAGGGGCTTCTAGTGAGGTGAGAAGGAAAACCAGAGGAGTGTGGTGTCAGGAAGCCACAGGAAAACGTGACTCAAGAAGGAAGAACTGACCATGTGCCCTCCCACTCACTTTTTGTATTGCTATCCTTTCGTATGTTCTAAACCACAAATGAATATCTAAAGAGTCATAAGAAGTAGCTGAAGTTAGGGAAGCGGGGGATATTTAGAGTGGGAGGGTACAACTCTGATAATGGGAAAGTGAGTCCAAGTGAGAAGTTGAAGTAAACCAATTCATTGAAAACTTTAACTCGGAGCCTAACTGCCTCCTTATAACCTCAGAATTCTCAGCTGATTTTGCAACTTAGATGGAAATCAGGAATTAAAAGAGCATCAAACTAAAATTTTCAGTCAGAATAATAAGAAGCTAAAAGTATTGTCTTTCAAGAAACACAAAGAGAAAAATAAAGATATCTTCTATTTTTTTAAAGGCAATTGATTAGCCTAAATTTTTTGATTGAAGGAAAAGACAATTATCATGATAGAAAGTGAGGGTGGAGTGGGTGGTATAACTTCAAAGTGTTCTGCACGCTGGACACATTGATCAAAGGCAAAATAATAAAAGAGGGAAGTCTGAGGAGTCATTACATTATTACAAAAAGACTCCCCGTATTTCAGTTTATGACACCAGAGTTCCTAAGTTGAAGTCAAGAGATGAAAGATACCATAGTTGATGCACTCAATGAATTCTGTTAATGGCTTCCTTTTCACTTGTGAATTTTCTTCAAAGGTAAGTTTTAGGTACAAAGGATTTCACAGAAGGATGTGAAATACATGCATGTGGAGGGAAACTGGCTTCTCTCCTCAAGCAATGTATTATGGCTGAGAAAGAAAGTGTGGAATGGAAGAAAAGTGGGGAATGGTAAAAATACAATAGATGATCTGTTTTTTGTTTCAATGTCTATATGCTTGTGTTGATTAAGTGATATTTTTGCCTTTTTTATTTTATAAAAACATTTGACATGTATGAAACATGTTAAGGAGTTCCCTGTTTGCTTATGGGTGGAGAAGACATTAATCTAATTCTAACTATAAGGTTGTAATTAAGCCCTGGGTGTTTATACCCACAATTCAAGTGCTAGATTCTGGGTGTTAAATGATCTTAGTTTTAAGGTTTTGGTTCAGAGTTCTAATTTCTGGAATTTTGCTTTTCAAAAACAGCATCAGAAATGACCAAAAGTAAAATATATTCAATGTAGAAACTATGGAAAACATAGAAAAGCACAAAGAAACACCAAAATTACTGAAAAACTCTGTACCTAAAGGTTGACCACTGTTCTTCCAGTGCTTTTCTATGGATATACTCACTTATATACATAAATATATTTGTACATTTTTTTCTATTTTAATGTAAAATATTCCATTTTAGATTAACATGCTGCATCATGAAACTCATTTAAAATATACCTTGATATTTTATGATATGACTTCCCTTATTATTTTAAATAATTATAAGAATTAAAATGACACGTTTTGTTGTATTTCATTTGAGGAATTCATGTGTATTCAAACAGCAGGATCAGAAACAGAGATATTTTGTTATCTATTGCTATGTAAGAAGCCATGTCCAAACTTAGTGGCTTAAATTAATTTACGATGATTTCTCACAGGTCTAGGGTTTGAAGGACTTAGCTGGGCTCTTCTTCCTTGGGGTGCATCATAGTTGCAGCTCGATAACGGCTGAGGCTGATGTCATCTTACTGCTTAATCATTCATGTATCTGATGTCTGAGTTGTGATGTCATATCTGGACATGACATGTATGGATGGCTGGAGGCTAACTAGATATGTCTCTTTCCATATAGCCATTCCATGTGGCTAGCTTAGGCTTCCTGAAAGCATGGCAGTCTTAGGTAGTCAGATCCCTTATACTGTGGTGCCTTCCTCTGGGGCAGGCATTCCAAGAGGACTGGGCAGAAACTTCAAAACAACTTAATGACGTAGCTTCAGAAGACCAAGAATGTCACATTTCTACTCCATTCTTTTGGTTTAGCAAGTCACCAAAGCCCAGATTCAAGGGGAGAGGACTTAGACTCCATTCTCAAAGTGAGGAGCACTAAAGAATTTGCAGCTACCTGTAATCTATTAAAAGTGGCCCCATCCAATTTGAAAGTATAATAATACACTGTTATTTTAATGTTCTGTAACAACAGACATATCTGTCATGTTATATATTCATTTAAATACTATTACTGGAAAAATGGCACTTGTGTGTTTTTTTAAATAAAAATGCTGTAATAGTATTTTTGTATTGTATTTATCCTACTTGTTACCCTTGAACACTTCCCAGTGTCTGTAGTTTTCATAATTTTTTTAATTTTTAATTTTTGTGGTTACATAGTAGGTGTATAATTTATGGGTTACATGAGATTTTTTGATTCAGGCTTGTAATGCATAATAATCACATCAGGGTAAATGGGGTATCATCACCTCAAGCATTTATCCTTTGTCATAAAATATTTTTAATGAGGCTGAGCATGATGGCTCATGCCTGTAATCCCAGCACTTTGGGAGGCCAAGGTGGGTGGATCACTTGAGGCCAGGAGTTCGAGACTAGCCTGAGCAACGTGGTGAAATCCCGTCCTTACTAAAAATACAAAAAATTAGTCAGGCCTGGTTACAAGCCATACTTGTAATCCCAGCTACTTGGGAGGCTGAGGCATGAGAACTGCTTGAACCTGGGAGGCAGAGGTTGCAGTGAGCTGAGATCACACCACTGCACTCCAGCCTGGGCAACACAGCAAGACTCTGTCTCAAAAAAAATATATATATATATTCATATTTTTCTGATATATCACTTCTGAAATTATGTAAATATTATCTACTGGTTAGATAAAATAGTTACTATAATAATGACAAAATAATTGTTCACTTTAAATTGTAGGGGGGTTAAGCAAACCAGTATACATTATAAACAGCTAAAATAACTAGAGATTTGCTAAAGGAAAGGCATAATTGCTAATGGCTCAATGCTTAACTGACCACTAGGGAATTGTAAATGATTGAAAAAGTCAACTAATCCGGGACACTTAAAGTGAATTATTGTGTTAGTAGCTAAAAATACTTTGAACCTGAAGTCCCACTTGTTGAAACATTCTTTTAGTAGCTATGGTTTTGTTCATGTAAATTGGGTGAATTAATAAGAATTAATAAGAATAACACAAGTTATTGAATGGTTAACATAACTTAGGCATTGCGCTAAGTATATTACATACATTATTTCAGTGAATCCTCACAACTACTCTTTGAGGTGGGTGATTTAATTTCACATTTTCAGATGAGAAAACAGGTTTAGAGACACAACTGAGATTTAGAGATGCTAAGCCACTTGCCAAGCTAACTCAGATAATAAGGAGTGATTCAGGATGTAACTTAGGTGATGTAAACTCAAAACAAATGTTTGGACTATGGAAAACAGTGTGGAGATTCCTTAAAAGTAGATCTGCCATTTGATCCAGCAGTCCCACTCCTGGGTATCAACCCAGAGGAAAAGAAGTCATTATATGAAAAAGATACTTGCACATGCGTGTTTATAGCAGCACAATTCGCAATTGCAAAAATATGGAACTAGCCCAAATGCCCATCAATCAATGAGTGGATAAAGAAAATGTGGTATATATGTTCCATGGAGGACTCAGCCATAAAAAGGAATGAAATAATGGCATTTGCAGCAACCTGGATGGAATTGGAGACCATTATTCTAAGAGAAGTAACTCAGGAATGGAAAACCAAACATTGTATGTTCTCATTCATAAGTGGGAGCTAAGCTATGAGGACGAAAAGGCATAAGAATGATACAATGGATTTTGGAAAGGGTGGTAGGAGGGTGAGGGATAAAAGACTACACGTTGGGTTTAATTAGATCCCATTTGTCTATTTTGGCTTTTGTTGCCATTTGTTGCTTTTGGTGTTTTAGACATGAAGTCTTTGCCCATGCCTGTGTCCTGAATGGTATTGTCTAGGTTTTCTTCTAGGAAGGAACTTCTGCACAGCAAAAGAAACTACCAGAGTGAACAGGCAACCTATGGAATGGGAGAAAATTTTTGCAATCTACCCATCTGACAAAGGGCTAATATCCAGAATCTACAAATAACTTAAACAAATTCACAAGGAAAAAACAAACAACCCCATCAAAAAGTGGGCGAAGGATATGAACAGGCACTCCTCAAAAGAAGACATTTATGCAGCCAACAGACACATGAAAAAATGCTCATCATCACTGGTCATCAGAGAAATGCAAATCAAAACCAGAATGAGATACCATCTCATGCCAGTTAGAATGGCGATCATTAAAAAGTCAGGAAACAACAGGTACTGGAGAGGGTGTGGAGAAATAGGAATGGTTTTACAAGTTTGATGGGAGTGTAAATTAGCTCAACCATTGTGGAACACAGTGTGGTGATTCCTCAAGGACCTAGAACTAGAAATACCATTTGACCCAGCAATCCTGTTACTTGGTTTATACCCAAAGGATTATAAAAAATCATGCTACTATAAAGACACATGCACATGTATGTTTATTGCGGCACTGTTCACAATAGCAAAGACTTGGAACCAACCCAAATGTCCATCAATGATAGACTGGATTAAGAAAATGTGGCACATATACGCCATGGAATATTATGCAGCCATAAAAAAGGATGAGTTCATGTGCTTTGCAGGGACATGGATGAAACTGGAAGCCATCATTCTGAACAAACTATCACAAGGACGGAAAACCAAACACCACATGTTCTCACTCATAGGTGGGAATCGAACAATGAGAACACATGGACACAGGGCGGGGAACATCACACATCAGGGCCTGCCGTGGGGTGGGGGCTGGGGGAGGGATAGCACTGGGAGAAATACCTAATATAAACGACGAGTTGATGGGTGCAGCAGACCAACATGGCACATGTATACCTATGTAACAAACCTGCGCATTGTGCACATGTACCCTAGAACTTAAAGTATAATAATAATTTTTTAAAAAGAGTACACATTGGGTACAGTGTACGCTGCTTGGGTGAGGGGTGTATCAAAATCTTAGAAATCCCACCAAAAGAACTTACTCATGTAACCAAATACCACCTGTTCTCCCGAAACCCATTGAAATAAAAAAAATATGTAGTATTCAAAGAAAAAAAATCTTTTATCATTAACTATGATCTTGGTAGGAGTTTTTTTTTGGTACAAGCTTTTTATCAAATTAGCAAATTCTCTTGTATTCCAAGCATGCTAAGAATTTTATGTTTTTTACATAACTTTCTTGATATGTAATTAAATTAAAATAAACTTCTTATGTTTAAATTGTACAATTTGATCCACTACCACAGATGTATACATCTGCAAAAACATTACTACAATAAAAATAGTGAACATTTTTATAATCCACCCCTCAAGCAAACACAAGTGTTTGTAAGTCTGTGTAATACGATTTCTTCTTGAAATAAAAAAGTATAGATTGGTAATTTGGAATATGATTAGGTTTAGGGTAGAAGAGGATGCAAAGGTAAATAAAATATGACACACTTTGTTATGGTGTGGCTGTGTCCCCATCCAAATCTCATCTTGACCTGTAGATCTCGTAATCCCCACATGTCATGGGAGGTACCAGGTGAGAGGTAATTGAATCATGGGGGCAGTTACCTCCATGCTGTTCTCATGATAGTGAGTGAGTTCTTGTGAGTTGTGATAGTTTTATAAGGGGTTCTTCCCCCTTCGCTCAGCACTTCTCTCTCCTGGGACATGTTTGCTGCTTCTTCTGCCATAATTGTAAGTTTCCTGAGGCCTCCCCAGCCATTCAGAACCATGTGTCAATTAAACATCTTTCCTTTATAAATTACTCAGTCTCTGGCAGTTCTTTTTTTTTTTTTTTTTTTTTAATCATTCTTGGGTGTTTCTCACAGAGGGGGATTTGGCAGGGTCATAGGACAATAGTGGAGGGAAGGTCAGCAGATAAACAAGTGAACAAAGGTCTCTGGTTTTCCTAGGCAGAGGACCCTGCGGCCTTCCACAGCGTTTGTGTCCCTGGGTACTTGAGATTAGGGAGTGGTGATGACTCTTAATGAGCATGCTGCCTTCAAGCATCAGTTTAACAAAGCACATCTTGCACTGCCCTTAATCCATTTAACTCTGAGTGGACACAGCACATGTTTCAGAGAGCACAGGGTTGGGGGTAAGGTCACAGATCAACAGGATCCCAAGGCAGAAGAATTTTTCTTAGTACAGAAGAAAATGAAAAGTCTCCCATGTCTACTTCTTTCTACACAGACACGGCAACCATCCGATTTCTCAATCTTTTCCCCACCTTTCCCCCCTTTCTATTCCACAAAGCCGCCATTGTCATCCTGGCCCGTTCTCAATGAGCTGTTGGGCACACCTCCCAGACGGGGTGGTGGCCGGGCAGAGGGGCTCCTCACTTCCCAGTAGGGGCGGCCGGGCAGAGGCGCCCCTCACCTCCCGGACGGGGCAGCTGGCCGGGCGGGGGGCTGACCCCCCCACCTCCCTCCCGGACGGGGCGGCTGGCCGGGTGGGGGGCTGACCCCCCCACCTCCCTCCCGGACTGGGCGGCTGGCCGGGCGGGGGGCTGACCCCCCCACCTCCTTCCCGGACGGGGCGGCTGGCCGGGCAGAGGGGCTCCTCACTTCCCAGTAGGGGCGGCCGGGCAGAGGCGCCCCTCACCTCCCAGACGGGGCGGCTGGCCGGGCGGGGGGCTGACCCCCCCACCTCCCTCCCGGACGGGGCGGCTGGCCGGGTGGGGGGCTGACCCCCCCACCTCCCTCCCGGACTGGGCGGCTGGCCGGGCGGGGGGCTGACCCCCCCACCTCCTTCCCGGACGGGGCGGCTGGCCGGGCAGAGGGGCTCCTCACTTCCCAGTAGGGGCGGCCGGGCAGAGGCGCCCCTCACCTCCTGGACGGGGCGGCTGGCCGGGCGGGGGGCTGACCCCCCAACCTCCCTCCCAGATGGGGCGGCTGGCCGGGCGGGGGGCTGACCCCCCCACCTCCCTCCCGGACGGGGCGGCTGGCCGGGCGGGGAACTGACCCCCCCACCTCCCTCCCGGACGGGGCGGCTGGCCAGGCAGAGGGGCTCCTCACTTCCCAGTAGGGGCGGCCGGGCAGAGGCGCCCCTCACCTCCCGGACGGGGTGGCTGGCCGGGCGGGAGGCTGACCCCCCCACCTCCCTCCCGGACGGGGCAGCTGGCCGGGTGGGCGGCTGACGCCCCCACCTCCCTCCCGGACGGGGCGGCTGGCCTGGCGGGGGGCTGACCCCCCCCACCTCCCTCCCGGATGGGGTGGCTGCCGGGCGGAGACGCTCCTCACTTCCCAGACGGGGTGGCTGCCGGGCGGAGAGGCTCCTCACTTTTCAGACGGGGCGGCTGCCGGGCGGAGAGGCTCCTCACTTCTCATACGGGGTGGCTGCCGGGCGGAGGGTCTCCTCACTTCTCAGACGGGGCGGCCGGGCAGAGACGCTCCTCAACTCCCAGATGGGGTGGCGGCCGGGCAGAGGCGCTCCTCACATCCCAGACAGGGCGGCGGGGCAGAGGCGCTCCCCACATCCCAGACGATGGGCGGCCGGGCAGAGACGCTCCTCACTTCCTAGATGTGATGGCGGCCGGGAAGAGGCGCTCCTCACTTCCCAGATAGGATGGCCGCCGGGCAGAGACGCTCCTCACTTTCCAGACTGGGCAACCAGGCAGAGGGGCTCCTCACATCCCAGACGATGGGCGGCCAGGCAGAGACGCTCCTCACTTCCCAGACGGGGTGGCGGCCGGGCAGAGGCTGCAATCTCGGCACTTTGGGAGGCCAAGGCAGGCGGCTGGGAGGTGGAGGTTGTAGCGAGCCGAGATCACGCCACTGCACTCCAGCCTGGGCACCATTGAGCACTGAGTGAACCAGACTCCGTCTGCAATCCCCGCACCTCGGGAGGCAGAGGCTGGCGGATCACTCGTGGTTAGGAGCTGGAGACCAGCCCGGCCAACACAGCGAAACCCCGTCTCCACCAAAAAAATACGAAAACCAGTCAGGCGTGGCGGCGCGCGCCTGCAATTGCAGGCACTCCGCAGGCTGAGGCAGGAGAATCAGGCAGGGCGGTTGCAGTGAGCCGAGATGGCAGCAGTACAGTCCAGCTTCCGCTCGGCATCAGAGGGTGACCGTGGAAAGAGAGGGAGAGGGAGACCATGGGGAGAGGGCGAGGGCGAGGGAGAGGGCGAGGGAGAGGGAGAGCGAGAGGGAGAGGGAGAGTGAGAGCTCTGGCAGTTCTTTATAGCAATATGAGAACAGACTAAACACACTTCTTAAAACAAAAACAAAAAGAGTGGTGGGTGGTCTTTTTAGTTATAAGACAAAGAATAATATTACAGGTGATTTATAAGAGAGATATGATCAACTCATCTTCACTATGTGGACACAGGACAGAGGCAGAGGGTAGTTGGGAGGTTACACTTAGTTTTGGTTTGATACATGTTTGAGGGACTGGTAGGACATTTGTTTGGAGATGTGTAGAAGTCAGTTGAAAGTGTGAGCAGGATTGGGGATTTATTTCTTTAACAAGAATTATTGCCACTATAATCAAAAGTTTGCCAGAAACTTCGAGGTAGCTCAGTGGAAGTGTTTTGATAGCTGACAATATGAGTGTTGTTCTGCAGGATGTAAATATCAATGGGGAAAGTTGTTCTGTGGCCATTATAGATTTTGGAAATATTGAATAAAAGTTGTATTCTTTTAGGCCTACTTAGGGTTTGTTATAGACTTTAGTAAGTATTTTGAATATTTAAGAAGGTTATTTAGTATCTGCACAAATGTATTTCCTAAATGTATTTCTAACAGAATTCTTTCATCTGATCAAAATGTGGGCATAACATTGCATAGACCACACTGGGGAATATTGGTTGGAACTTAAATGAAAGGATAAGAGTTGCACTGGGAGACTTTTACAGGGACCAGGCAAAGCTGAGATTGCTCAGAGGACAGGGTTAAATCTGATATTGAAGGGAAGGAGGGAGTTGAAGTGGAAGCTTGAAGAGGAAACCAGGCTGAGAATGGGAAGTTGTTTGTAGGTAAGAAGAGTGCATTCGTGGGATGAGGAGCAAAGGAGAGAGAGAAAGAGGGAGAGAGAAGAGAAGAGAGGAAGAAGAGAAGAGGAAGATAAATTAAGAGGTAAAATCTTAAACATGAAAGAATGAGGTCAGAAGCATAGATGGTGGGTTATTCTTAGAGAAGAGTATGCATGTTCCATTTTTGGAGACAGTCTATGGAGATAGAGATGGATAATTTTGAGGGAAGGGAAATAAAATCTTTTAAATGTTTGAACTATTACAAAAGTTTAAGGGTGGACAGTTAATATTGATGGGGAATCTGATGCAATAATGAAAGCAAATAAGAATAAACATTCTTATTTTAAATGTATGAAGATATACTATTCATTTTCAGTAACTATTCACGCGGTAGTGTGGAGGGCGTAGTTGGGAGGCAAGAATAGATTTAAAAAGGATTTACTTTTTCTTAGGAAAAAACTCACTGGAGATGGAATCCTATTTAAATGCCTTGATTTTCGTCATGTTTACTGCGGTATACCCACGCCTTCAATTATGCCTGGCAGATAGTAGAGACTCAGTGAGTACTTTTTGAATGCCATTGAATGATGAATGAATGTTAGACACAGCCACAGCACATCAATAGTGCCCACATGCCACACATGGCTTTCCTTTAAGCTCTTTCAAACTTGTGTCCATGAACGAAAAGACTAAGCTCTTGAAAAGACTTGGCGCTAAGCCCTGTAGCCAGGGAGAGCTGCTTAGGGACCCTGTGGGCTAAAGATAGCACTAAAGAAATGGCATAGGCAGTGGAGCGTTTCTCCTCTGAAGAAAGCACATACAGAGTACGTGCTGACCCGTGCCAGGAGTTGGGGCTAGCGAGGCACATGGGACACAGCCTGAAGTAGCAGGCCTGGACAGATGGAGGAAGACTGGCTTAAGACAGGGCATCAGGTACCGGAGCTCAGTGGCAGCTGAAGTACTGTAGTCTGGGAGACACCAGACCTCCTTTAGGAATGCATTAGCCACTGGAATTCTTAGAGCATACAAGTAGGGGAGCTCCAAGAGGTAAAAATGGATTTCCTGCCAGTGTGATGCATGGCGTCTTGAGTAGGATTTAATTTAATTTGGAAAATAACGGAGTGCTGACACATTTGCACCATGGGTGTTGTGGACTAGTTCATACTTGTTACATGCTAGGGATACCAAGGAATTAATAATCTTCGTTACATCACAGCTATAAGACAATTTTAATCAAATCTATCAATCTAACCCTATTATCCCTCCAATCCCAGCAGAGTACTGAAACACAGTTTGGGCTGCATTTAAAACAAAAAAACCCACCAAATCCTTTAAGAATGAGAAAAGAAGAGAAACATTTAATTTTGGAATATGTGTAGGTAGTAGCTCATGGCCATAAAAAACCCCCAAAGAGTAGAGGCTTAAGGTAAGAAAAGAAATTAGATGGTTAGAGTAAATGCATTGAGAAAAACACAGGTGTACTTACAAAGTATGTTCGTGAAAGCCAAAAAAGTAAAGCCAATATAGTATTAGGCATTCACTTCTCTGCAAAGATGAATTTAAATCAAACCTAATGAATACCTTATTTAAAATTTTAAATAAAAAATTTTACAAAATGTTTTATACAGCTCTCACCCATCTAAATGATCAGTTATTGATAAACTCTTAGGCATTCCCTAAACTAGAAAATTTTCATCCCTTGACATGGAATTTTTAAATGTTCTGATAGCTGTTATTAACATTTTTATCACTAAATACATCAGTCTGAAATGAGTTTACCCTGGAGTTAGTGTTACTTCTAGAGGGTACTTAACAATCTTCAATGGATTTAGCAAAGAGTATTTTCACATTTGGTTTTTACCTGATTGATAAATGCTTTTGTAATCTTATCAAGCATTATAGAAAGTCATTAAAAATTGATCTTAGGCTTTATCATCTTTTTTTTTATTTATAAACTTCTGTGTAACTAAGAAGCCAGAGAAGCCCAATCTCAGAGATTTTTCCTTAGAGATATAAGCATATCGACAAAACATCGTAGCATACCGAGATGACATGAAATCTCACAAGTTCAATGTGTATGAGGCGGATGGAGAAATAATACTGTAAAGTCATTGGCTTCAAACTTCCTGGGATGGAAATGTTTGTAATCCAGGCTTAGGTTTTACAAGTTTCAAATTGATGGAGGATTGTAGAAGTTGGGGGAATAATAGAGCATGTTCAGGTATTTTGGTTGCAAATTAAGGCTCTTATTTTAATATAATTTTGTACAGTCCTTGAGGCCCTGTGGAAAATTGTTAATTGAAGGGATTGAATGTCTAAAAAATATTAAATATCTTGTTTTAGTTTGGTAAATGGCTCCTGGTAGTGACAATAGATAATATGACACGCAAATACCTTGCAAATGGGAAAGAGGTAGTACTTAGTTGGACCATAAGTGATCTTCCGGAGCTCTGCCTAATTCATTTGAGCATCACATATATATTTTTTATTATTATACTTTAAGTTCTAGGGTACATGTGCACAACGTGTAGGTTTGTTACCTAGGTATACATATGCCATGTTGGTTTGCTGCACCCATTAACTCGTCATTTACATTAGGTATTTCTCCTAATGCTATCCCTCCCCCTTCCCCCCACCTCACAACAGGCCTTGGGGTGTGATATTCCCCACCCTGTGTCCAGTTGTTCTCATTGTTCAGTTCCTACCTATGAGTGAGAACATGCAGTGTTTGGTTTTCTGTCCTTGTGATAGTTTGCTGGGAATGATGGTTTCCAGCTTCATCCGTGTCCCTGCAAAGGACATGAACTCATCATTTTTTATGGCTGCATACTATTCCATGGTGTATATGTGCCACATTGTCTTAATCCAGTCTATCATTGATGGACATTTGGGTTGGTTCCAAGTTTTTGCTATTGTGAATAGTGCAGCAATAAACGTACATGTGCATGTGTCTTTATAGTGGCACGATTTATAATCCTTTGGGTATATACCCAGTAATGGGATGGCTGGGTCAAATGGTAGTTCTAGTTCTAGATCCTTGAGGAATTGCCACATATTTAGCCAGAATAATAAAATGTTTATTTTTCTTCATATCATTGGTAAATTCACACAATTCCATTTTGTGTCAAAAGTAATAAATGAAAGTGAGAACCAGAAAACAGCACATTGTGAACAAAATTAAATAAAGACCTACTTCTTTTTAAAAACAAAAATTAAAAAAAAGATGCATTAAAAAAACATTCAAAATATCCTTTCACTTAGAAGCAAGGGAAAACCCGGCCGAGCGCAGTGGCTCACGCCTGTAATTCCAGCACTTTGGGAGGCCGAGGCGGGTGGATCACCCGAGGTCGGGAGTTCAAGACCAGCCTGACCAACATGGAGTAATTTCGTCTCTACTAAAAAATACAATAATTAGCCGGGCGTGGTGGTGCATGCCTGTAATCCCAGCTACTCAGGAATCTGAGGCAGGAGAATCACTTGAACCTGGCGGTGGAGGTTGCAGTGAGCCAAGATCACGCCGTTGCACTCCAGCCTGGGCAACAAGAGTGAAACTCCATCTCAAAAAAAAAAAAGCAGCAAGGGAAAACGAATTCTTGTAAATAAGCCTTGTGTTAAATAGGAACTCATATCTGTGGCAATAGGCTTTTTAGAATTTCATAATATAACAGACTTTTTAGAATATCATACCACTAGGAACTCCACTTACCAAACCTGAGATGCAGCCAAAACTATACATGAAGCAAAACCGTATCTTTTAAATAATAAAAAGTAACTTGGTTTTCAATTTATGAATCTTAAAAGAATACCGTACTAAACCAATCAGGATAGAGAATTGATAAAGATTAAAAATGAAATTGATGAATTAGAAAACAGAAAAACATTGGACTTAATCCCAGATCAAAATAACCAAATAAAGTCAGTAGTCTTATAACTTCATTTTACAGAAGAGGAAGTAGACTCAGACGTTAACAATAGACTCAAACATTAACAGCCTGCTCATAGTTGCCCTGCTGGTAAGTATCAGAGTACTCTAAGGGCATAGATGCTAGGCTCTGCTGCATTTTTTTCAGTGTGAAGATTGGAATTATCCAACTGGCCAATTAGTCTAAATTCTGGGTAACAGTTTATAGCTTTAATGGCTAGAAAGTGGTTTGCAAGTGATACTGCTGGAGGCTATAATTGCTTGAGGAAGCCAAGGAAATATAGTAAAAACCAGCAGTCATTTGGGGATTGCTGGAGGCTTGGACAATAAGGGTATACAGGCATCACTACAGCCTGGAACATTATGATCAAGAGCCTTATTAACAGAAGAAATAATGAACGTAGACACATGATTTCAGAGAATATTTGAAGAGGAAAATCTGAAATTGTTAATTAGCCTTTTGGCAACACATCTCCATAAATGTATGCTGTAATGATCCTGTATTCCATTAATTCTTTTAGACTCCCGTATGTGTATCCTATTCATCATCCAATTAGATTCCATTCCCAAATTCTGCAGATTTACAATACAACATCCTGACAATGTTTCGATGCCTGGTACAGTTTTTAATATGTCGGTAGATAGATGGAAGGAAGTAAGTTTGTTTGATTTAACGGAAAACAGTAAGAAATTTTCGAAAGGGGAGAGGGGTGCTATACATAATGACTTCCTTCCAAAGTAGTTGGTATGGAAAAGAGGGCAAGAGTAACTTTGCAGTGGAGCACCCTGACAAATACCACCTCGGCCAGGTAACCAAGCTCGACACCAATAGTGATAAGTCATGTTGATAGTATGTACCTTTTGTATAAGTGATGAGAAAGTCTTTTTGCCTTTTTGGTCTTCCCCAAAACCCATAACCCCAGTCTAATCATGAGAAAGTTATCAGACAAATCCCAGCTGAGGGACATGCTACAGAATACCTGACCACATTCCTCAAAAGCGCCAAAGTCATCAAAAATAAGAAAACTCTGAGGAAATGTCACAGCCAAAAGGAGCCCAAGGAAACATGACAACCCAATGTAATGTGGTGTCCTGGATGTGATCCTGGAACAGAAAAAGAAAATTAGCTAAAAACGAAGAAAACTGGAATAAAGTGTTGACTTTAATTAGTCAAATTGTATTATGCTTTGTATTTCTGTTGTGTTTTAGAAATGATTAATAGACATGGTGGTGGCTCAGCAGAAGCTGGGTGGTTAAAAGATTTGTGGTGTTTAAGCCTGAAGAAAGACTGGGCACATGCAAAGTGGTGTGGCAGTGGTTTCCATTTCAAAACACTTTCAGGGCCTCTTGATCTAACTTTTGGTTTCTATCATTTCTTTTTCCTTTTTATTTTCTAAACCTGGAGGAACCACAAATTATTACAGATGAAATACAAACTTTTTTTTCTAACCATGAAAAGTACTGTTCTCCTTCTCTGAGATCATACATGTAGCTGGGAGGGTAGGCATCTGCCAAGTTCCCAGACCTCTACCTGTGCTTCCCATGCCAGTTGCAGTGTGTAGAGGTGGCGGATACTGTGGTTCAAATTTTGGGGGTCATCCAGAACATCAGAAGCCCCAACATTTTGTTCTTTCACATACAGTGTTGTAATTCATTTCTCTTCTGACCTTGAAGTCCATGATGAGTTTTCATTGTTCTTTTAAACTTTCCTAAGTTCTCAATGTTTCCATCTACTTCAAACATTCCTTCACTCTAATGTTGCTACTGTGGAGGGTAGGCAGGAGCTTGTGGATGTATGGGTGGTGCTCATATAAGACAGTCCAGGATGCCCAATGCTGTTTCCTTTGGTCTCTTGACCATGTGGAGATTGAAGGTCTACAGCCTAGAAACTGGCACTTCATGGTGCACAGAGATGGATTCCCTCCCCTGGGCCTCATGACTACCTCAGTGCTGTAGCTTTTCATTTTGCTTCCCTTTAGCAATTGAGGAAACTCAAGGCCATGTGAAGGGAAGTGACTTGTCTAAACTTCTACAGCTGGGAAGATGGCAGAGACTAGATTGGAGCCCAAAGCTGAGTGGAATCAATGCTTGCCTCCTGCTTTGGAGGTGACTTGGGGCCCAACACCCCAGGAGGCACTTGCAGTGTCCAGCTAAAGGTTTCATGGCATCTGTGTTAGGATGCCCATGGAGGTACTGCCAGGAATTCTTCCCATTGTCCTATGAAATCAAAGTCCTGGGACACTGCATGGAGGCATTCCACAAGGTGGTGAGCGTGCATGTGTGTGTACGTGCCTGCACACACGTGTGTGCAGGCACGTACACACACATGCACGCTCACCACCTTGTGAACTGGTTTTCCGCCTCTGAATGACATGGAGATAAGAAATTTCTTACTTTCCTCTTTGACCCTAGTCTGAGGAGACATTAGGAGGGTATAGGAGAGCAAATTCTCTGTCTAACTGGCAGCTACTGCTTAGCTCCAGGCAAGGGATGCCATGGAGAAATGTGGACCCAGATTTGCCAATTCTGGTAATTTTTCAAAATAATCTAGACATCCATTTTTTTAAAATGTGAAATCTACAAATTTTAAATCTTGGCAAAAATGATCTTTTAGTATTGTTTTGTAATCACAGTTTGGACTAAAAAACACATATCTCTAGGCATCTGGGTTTGTAACATTAAATTCCCTCTTTTGCTTTCTTTCTTACTGGCAGTGAGTGCAAATAATTCATTTAGAAAGCATAAGCACCTAGATTCTTCAATAAAAACAGACTGTCTTCAATGAAGAGAAAGAAACTCACAGAAAGTATCCAAAGAAACAATTTTTAAAAATTAGATAATACTACTGAATTTCAGGAGAAAAAAAAAATTTTGTTTGACTAGAGCTAATTAAAGTTGTTTTCAGTGAGATCTTAATTTCAAGAAAACTGCTTTTCATGACTTTTTAAGATCTATGTAGGATTACAAAATTACGTTTGTTTGAGAAGAGTTACAGGGGTCAAAAATCTATCCTTAGATCCTTAAGACCGCTTCATAATATGTGAAATTGTTGCTGTTGATTTTTTTTTTAGACAGACGGGTGCCATCTAATGGTGGTTTAAGAAATCTTAGTTAAACATGTGATCCTTATTTTTTAAAGGACCTAAAAGACAAGAGTTATCTTACTACTTGACAGAGACACTGTCACATACTCAGATTTATAACCTATATGAGCAAACTTTGACTTATTTTATTGCTTCTAAATTGGCCTCAAAGGATTTAGATTAGTGAGATTTTCATTTTGTGCTTTGCAAATGTGGGAGAGAGAAAGCACAATTGAAACCCATAATCTTCTAGAGCTCCACAGAGCTCTGGAATTAAAGCTTCTCTACACTGTTCTTCCTGTTTCCATGGTGGGCATATGTAGTCCAAATATAAACAGCTCGAATGGCTTTTGTGATCTGTTTTTTGATGACTCATGCAAACGGGAGTACATGAGCTCATGGAAAATGTCAAGCTTAAATATTCTAGAAAGAAGATAGAAATCAGAAGTTCAGTTACATGAGTTAAAAGACTTTATGTAACCCCAACACTCTGGGAGGCCGAGGCAGGCGGATCATGAGGTCAAGAGATTGAGACCATCCTGGCCAACATGGTGAAACCTCGTCTCTAATAAAAATAGAAAAATTAGCTGGGCGTGGTGGCACGTGCCTGTAGTCCCAGCTACTCAGGAGGCTGAGGCAGGAGAATCGCTTGAACCCGGGAGGTGGAGGTTGCAGTGAGCCAAGATCGCGCCACTGCACTCCAGCCTGGTGATAGAGCGAGACTACGTCTTAAAAAAAAAAAAAAAAGATAAAAAAATAGAAAAAACTTTGTGTATTAGATCAGATATTTACTTGCCCTGTTTCTGTTATGTAAAATGTTACTTTTCCTGGAAGTATTTGTCTGTACTGCATTATTGTTCATGGAAATGGCCATTGTAGAATCAGTCTTAGTATGTACCATGGCAATTTGTGATATCATGGTTACTTTTCTGGAAAAAATTATTGTGTGTAGGTACATTTTTTGAAAGTTTACAAGCGTAACTCTCACACAAATATAAAATGAACATGTCAAGATTTTATTCAACCCATTAGTTAGTGAGGAAACTAATAGAGTGTTAATACTGGTGCAAAAAGCATTTTTGGAACAAAATATTTACAAGAAAATTAATAAAGAAATGATAAGGTAAGGTTTCTGGGTGAGATGTAAAACTGGTTAACATCCTACCGGGAAATAAAGCTGTAACTTATGGATTATATGTTTCACTGTACAAAAATTACTTGCACTTTTCAGCCAAGTAAAAGGATGATGAAAAAAAAAGAAAAAGAAAGTACTTGCACTTTTATAGGACAAATTTTTCCCAATTTACATGTGACTTCACTAAGTCTGAGATCTTTTATCAATGGTAAACAATTGTTGATTTAACTAAGTGTGTTTTATTGAGTGGTCTGTGCCTTGTATGATCATTAAAAGCATAGTCCACACACTACTTTTTGGCTTGTATTCAAGCTTGGGATACCTTTTTCTTAAAAAATAATCAGACGTTAGCCTCATGTCTGTGCCTATGCCATTGTCAGAGTAAAATAACTGTGTTTGTCTGAATCTGACAAAACTAAATAAGGCAAGGGAGGATGAAGAGAGTCTCTTGCTTTCTTTTTCTATACCATGCTTTTCCTACCTTCTCATTACTCTAAGATGGTGGGTTAATCTATTTCTTTACTTGTTTTTTCATTAAATAAGCATGTCTTGAGGGTCATTGTATACCAGGGACTGTACTAGGTGGTGGACAGGTAAAGCTATTCAAGATGGGCAAGCTCAATGTCCTGCAGGTGTTTTTGTTCTAAGGAGAGAAACACAATAAATGCAAATAGCGACAACTACAAAGAAGGAAACAAAAGGGCATTGTTTAAAAGAGGAATATTAGGCTTCCAGGTAGACATTCGTGTTGGGAATTTATTTATTGTCTCAGCTACACACCATAATTATTGTAGAACTCATCAATAAAATGGCAGTTTCCATTGACTTTCACTACACCTATCCATTCATTCTCCAGGGAAGGGTAGACACAATTATGGTAACTTGCACTTTCCTAGACCACATGTTGTGAAACGTACATCAATCAAAAGTGGTTGCCCTCTACACCTAGGGGGCAGTAGATATCCTGGTATTCCCCTTTATATCATCCTGGGATTTCCTTTGATGCTTTGCTGTGTTTGACTCTTGATTGCTGATCCTATATTTTCTTCTTTCTTAGTTTACTTGGTTTATTCCCTTGTTTAGATGGAGAACTCCCTCCAGTAACATCTTGAGAAAGGGTATGTAGAGACAAAAGTTTTAGGTCTTTTATATTAGGAATTATCATGATATTATCCTTCCACTTAACTAATAGTTTCATTGGGTATAGAATTTTAACTATTACCTTCAGATAGTTACCTTTAATATAGCACTTTACAGAAAAGGGTTTTCAAACAATTAGAGAAACCTGCAAGGACAAAAGGAAGGCGAGAGGAAACAGTTGCAACTCAGTTTTGGAGCCAGAAGGCAAATGGATGAGTAGTGATTCTCTTAGCAGATCCAAGAAAGCTTAGCAGTAAGCTAGGAGGCTGAGAAATAGCCAAATTTATACAGAATAGCCACTAAAGGCACAGGAAATAATAGTATCAGGTACCTTTAAAACTTTGGTGGTGAGTGAGCAACTAGGTGGGGAGAAAACTGCTGCAGGAGATCCTTAAAATCATCATCCCTTCCATCCTGTGCTGCTGCTGACCCCCTGCTTACCCCTCCAAATCTGGTGTTCATTCTCCAGGAAAGGTAAAACAGGATCTCTTGAATGATGATGTGAGCCGTGTTTGTGGGTTAGGATCCCTAAATAAAACAGGGGATTAAGTGACCATATGATGATCGAATTCAGAGACTCCAGTTTTTTACCCCCTTCTACTAGGTCCCAGATGTCCTGGTAATTATATCTGTACCCTTTAGGTGGGAGAATGGAAGATTCTTCTTTGGGGAAACTGATCAATGTAAGAGTAAAGTTTTTTCTGTAGATACTAAAATTGGGACTTTCTAATAAGTGGTTCACTCGTTCACTGAAAGTTGACAAGCCACATCCTTCTGCACATGCTCAGAACTTTCAAGTATTATTTTGGTCACTTATCCTTGATCATATGAAGATATGAAGATCCATATATTCAGAGCATCCCAGTCATCAGTTTAGTCTCATAATTTTAAGTATATATAGATGATGAAGAATTACCAGATATAGAAGACAGATTCCAGAATAAATAACAAATTATTTTTGTTAATTTAGAGGTAACAAAGAATACAAAGAGGGAAGATTTTTTTTAAAATCAGTATTTTCTAAGATACTTTACAAAATCATTGGATTAATGGAAAAATAACAGGATACTGTTAAATTCTTAGAAATTGAAAACGATAGCATAAATTTAAAAATAGTAGGATAATTGAAATTTGATGATGAATTAAATTCTTGGGAAGCAGAGCAAAAATCAAAGAATCGGTAATTAAGATATAAGGAATAAGATATAAGGAAATGAGAAAACTATCCTCAGAATATCAGTGTGAAATAATAGGAGTTCTAGGAGAGAGATCAGTGAAAATGGAGTGGGGGCAGAAATCACTGTGAAATAATAAAGGAAACTTTGTCCGTTTGAAGGTTATGAGTGGCACATTGAAGGGAATTTACAGAGTGTTCATCCAAATGGACAAGAATAAACTAATTCCAAGATGCATCATTCTGAAGTTTCAGAACACTTTACAATGAGAAGAACCTTCCAAAGGGAGGACAACACAAACAATCAGAACGGGTCACAAACACTTTAGAATCAAAACAATTTTAGATTTTTTAGTAGCAACACTAGGAGTTTGAAAACAATGGACTGAGGCTCTCAAAATTCTGAAAGAAAATTATTTTTACCTACAATTCTATACTCAATTAAACCTTTAGTTAAGTGGAAGGATAATATTGTGATAATGCCTAACATACAAGACCTAAAACATTTATCTTTACATAAGCTTTCTCAGGCTGTGACTGGAGGGTGTTCTCCATCAAAACAAGGGAATAAACCAAATAAACTACTAAGGAAGAAGAAAACATGGGATTAACAAACAGAGGATGAAACACAGGAAAGGATTCAAAGAGATTCCAGGATGATAGAAACAAGGATCCCAGGATGACTGTTGCCCATCATGTGTAGAGGGCAACCACTTTTGATTGATGTAGGTTTGATAATATGTGGTCTAGGAAAGTGCAAGTTACCATAATTGTGTCAACTATTCCCCAAGAGTGAATTGATGGGTGTAGTGAAAGTCAATGGAAACTGGCATTTTATTGATGAGAGATACAATGTTGATGGTATGTATCTGAGACAATAAACATATTCCCAACAGGAAAGTCTACATGGAAGTCTGGTATTCCTTTGTTAACTAACATCTTGGAAAGGTGTGCTGATTTCTATAGTCTGTCTTCTGTAGGAATACATATATTTCTGTATATATGTACACACATAAACAATCTCTTGAGAGATATAAATGAAGTTGATAACTGGGATTGACTGTGGGTAGGAGCAGCATATGGCTGGTGGAGGGTACTGTGAGGGAGGCTTATTTTTTACTGTTTATCTTTTTATTCCTTTTAAATATTATGCCACATGCATATATAAGTTATTTAAAGATGAATAAAATAAAATGTATTTCTTATAAATTAAAAATAAATAAAAATAAAGACAAATAACATTAACTACAGTCTGAGTAAGAGACTATTCGTTTTATTTATTACTTTAAAAATGTTTAGCACTTACTCTATTTGTAACATTAGAGTACTTTGCTTTTGAAAGTTGTAAATTTAAATTCTGTTTTGGTTTGGGAGAGGGCAAAGATCATTTTTTTTTTGGTGGTGCTTGCCAAATACAAATAAGACAGATTAAGAATGCTTAGAAGCTGAATAATTGATGATAGGAATGATGAAGCTTCTCTTGTTCCACAGGAGTAATTCTATAGTTTTAGAATGCCCCTTAGTAGATGTAATAGAATTCAAGTAATTCTAAACTTGAAAACCTTGTTCCTTTAGGATCATATTTTCAGTATTAATTACCTGGTGGTCACACCATGGGAAGATGCTTGCTATGGCATTGACAAGGTAAAAGATGAAGCTAATAAGGTCAATGCGTTCATTCAATTCTGCACTAGTAATGTTTGTCTTTTCAGGCCCTTGTCCCATCACTCATAGATACTGTACAGTTGTTTATTCTGAAATGTAAAGAGATAGAGTCAACTTTCAAATTGAGGGAAGGTTTTATTTTTAATCGAAGTCGATTAATGCAAAATTAATTGAATTATGACTTTCTTTCATTGTCTTCTATTGGGTCCTAATTCTCATTTATTTTACTCTCTTCCTTATTCTACTCCGTTTCTATATAGTTATTGAGACATAGAAAAAAAGACTCTTTGACTCTTTCCTTTTAATCAGAATATGCTATACCTATTACATTTCCTAAGGTGCCCATCATTTATTTGAGTCAAGATGGGAGGAAGGTACTGTCCTAGATAAACAGGATTTAGAATTTATTGCTTATAATGACACGTTGTTGATGAATTTTATAATATTTGATGCTCTTATGGGCTACGTAATCCAGGTAAAAAATAAAGTAGGGAAAATAGGAGTAGGTTTTTAAACAGGAACAATAAAGCATCGTGGGAAACAGCAATAGGAATAAATTAATGTCAGACTAATGTAAAGAAGCAAGATATTGGGGTTCCTTGGTGACAATCAGAAGGGGCTTAGCTTTTTCAGGACACTGAGTCAATATGGTACACTCTTGTCCTGCTGTGTTCTATTCTGAAGACATCCTTAGTTTGTCTAAGTGTCTTATTAGTCATTACCAGTTTTGAGGTGGAGGGGAAAATATTAGACTGTGAGTACAGATGGTGGTAATAATTGCATGGGAACAGAAGATAGCTAGCGTGGTGTCCTTTCATGAATCCTTAGAGAAGAATAATACTGTTGAATGTTAGAGTGGGACAGAGGGGACTTTCCACTTTGTTTATCCTAATATGAGTTTGCAGTATCACAAACTGGAGATTGGCGGATAAATATTGATGTTGAAAGTGACGGAAAACCCAACCCAAGCCAGCTAGAGCACAAAACGTAATTTATTGTCTCAGAAACTGAAAACTCTAGGATAAAGCTGGATTCAAGAGCTTAAGCTTGATTATCAAAATGTGGCTCCTTTCATCCCCTTGGCTCTGTGGCTGTGTTTGTTTCATTTCCAGACTGTGGGAGAACTTGCCCCAATTATCACAATCCCAAATACAGTGGTAGAGGGAATTTCCATTCTTATGCTTAAAGGAAAGTCTCCTAATTGTGTCTTCTGTCTTCTTGGCTTTGATTGACCTGATCTGAATGGCCAACCCTATGACTCTGTTTAAGCCAAGGAACATATTTTAAGTATCTTTGTGTTCTCGGTGATTGATGAGCACAGGGCGTTGCATGATGTACAGGTACACAATATACAAATGTTATGTTAAACTGTAAGCTGCTTTTCTGAAAACAACCATTTTACATTGTAAGAGCTGGTCTAATATAGTCCAGATTTTAATTCTGAAATTTTTTTGGAGCAAAATTAGGTGACTTGTTGGAGAGACTGAATATGATTACTAGAATTCAAGAATTTGAGACTTTCTGCCTGTGTGCTATCAGGACTCTGTCAGAACCTCACAGTAGAATTCAGGAAATAAGCAAGAAATTAAATTACATATCATCTTAGCATGCTAAGAGATCTATTAAGAGATAAGGGATATAGTGGAAGAAAGAGTTTTAATTTCTTTTGAATCATACAAAACAAAAGTGAGAGGTGGGAGAAGAACATGGATGATAGCTGGAAATGAGAGGATTTGAATATTGGAATATCATCCCATTAGAGAAGAGGAATGATGTCAGTGATGCTAAAATTATTCTTTCACAGTTGCAACAGAATACAAATTACGCACATCATGATCTTAAAACATATGTTTGAAATTCATTTTATAGAGAAGTTTAAAAATAAGTGGTCTGATGGGGCATGAAAAAATTTTGTTAAATCTAGTAAGAGAAAAAAATGACCTAAAATAGATTTAAGACTTATGTGCTGTGTCAATTACTAATGCCTTGTCTTCTGAGTTTAATTTAAAAAAAGGGAATTCCAAAGACTAGATTTTTAGTGTGATAGAGGAAAGTGTACCTAGCTACTCTAAAAAATAAACTATTCAGCATTTGTGTAATTATGCCTGTCTTCTAATGGGAACTTCATTTTCAAAGCTTTTTTTAATCTTTAAATTCTATTGAATGCCAACTTTGCCCGAACAACTTTTCATACAGTGTGAAAAGATGAAAGCAAAGGAGATGCAATTATCAATGATGTCACAGAATTTGAGGCATTTCCAATCATGCCTGTGTGCTCATTTTGCATAATCAAAACTCACTGATGGGGACCAATTTAAAATGAATTTACTGACTTAAACACAGGATCTTGGAGCTCTAATTGCCTGGGAAACTGTAAGAATGCAGCATTTGAGCTCATTGGTCCTGACATAAAAAGATGCTGTTAAATATTTAAAGTAGTCAAGAGAGCTGTAGTGTCATTTAAATAAATGTAATGTTTATTAGAGTAATAAAGTGAAACTTTTAGGAGATTCATAATTATGCAATCTTATGAGAGTTTTGGTTATTGTGCATGAGCTTGAAATATCTGAATGCTTGGAAACGTAGCATAAATGATCTATCATATTATTCAAGGTGGTGATGTGTGATTTGTTGAAATAAAATGTAAATGGCAGTACAGTGTGGTTATTGGGTAGAGAGTTTGGAGTTAGCCTCCAAAGCCTACATAGCCACTTAACTGAATAATATTGCATATGTTGACTAACCCATCTCTGCTTTAGTTTTCTCAGCTATAAAATGGTACTAATGCTATGCTCGCCTTCTTCATAGAGATATTGTAAGGATTAAATGTGTTAATGTATATAAAGTACCTTAAAACAGTGCTTATATAAGCATTTGCTGTTATGATCACTCTGTAAAAGTCATTACGGTTTTTCTTCCGAATGCACAAAATCTTAAAATGCAATATCAGAATATGAAAAAACATATGAGGAAGTTCGCACATATAGCATTGAAAAGTTCAGTAGTTAACTCATAACTACAAATTTGGCCTTTTGTATGTTCACTCCAAGACACACTTCTAACACGATTCCTCACACTCTAGGACAGTAATTCTCAAAGTGAATTATACCAAGGATGAGTTGGATCAGAATTAATAGGGCTACTTGTTAAATGCATATTCCTGGTCCTCACTTTAGACTCACTGAATCAGAATTTTTGAGAGTGAGAATTAGCATTTTAACAAATGCCTGAGGTGATCCTAATGCAGGACAGATTTTGAGAACTGTTCTTACTTGTTCATGATTCCCTCTACTCATGCTGTAATTTCACTTTCACTCTGTCTCACATTGCACTTCAGATGTCTTATTTCTCTCAGTTCATGGTTCTGTCACGTCTCCTGTTCAAGGACTGTAGATTTTTCTTTCAAAATCACAGTAGATTGTAGTTGATCTTTTTCTTTCACATTCAAAGCCTAGTTTACTACCTTCTCCCTCTTCCATTTTGTGCTCTCTTCATTGTACCTTGTTCATTTCCTTGCCACTATTTGTCCTAAGTGGGATGTGAAATCATTCTGGCTTTAGAATTCCATAAAAGACCTTCACCTGGCTTTGGTTTAGCTCAGAACTGCTCCCCCTTTCCTGTCTCACACATGCTTTGCTTTTTCCCTTCCATTTCTCTCATCTTTTTCATTTCCTTTCTTTCCATGAACATTCCTGGGTTGGAAGACAGGGAAGAGTTTGCAGCTGGTCAAGGAAAACTCTTCTTCAGATTTCATTGGTCTTCTGGCAGGTTTGCCTGGAGAGAAGGGACAGGTACAAAGGAAGTCCCAATCCTTCAGCATCTCTGTCCCTGTTAGCTTATATCCCTTTCCTGGACTCCATTTGAACTCGGCATCCCTGTCTGGATTTTAGAGTCAGAAGTGTGTGAGACATCATTGAGCAGTCTCAGACTGCATTGTCTGTATATACTTAACGGAGAACATTGCACTTAAATCCTAAAATATATCAGGAACTCATATATTTGGCGTGTCTAAGTATAAAGCCATGTGTAGCCAAGTGGAAACACCACATACAAGAAAATTGTATTACTTCTTGGCCAAGGTAAAGATTAATAGGAAGCATTTTGGCTCATAGAGTATGTAATGCAGCTCTCCTTTAAAACACGTGAACTTTTTATGTTCGTGTGAATGATCACATAGATCCACGGGAATCTTAATGATCCGTGAGGGAAATTGTTCACATTTTTAGAGGTATATCTACATTACAAAACAGCAGCACTTTCAGGAGACCACTGCACTGTTGTGCTTTGGAAAGCACTTGAATCCCAGAGTGCTGAAAGTAGGAACAGTATTGATGACTCATAAACACACATATCATAGTGAAAAAAAAAAAAAAAAAGAAAGTTGTCATGGAAAAAAAGGAAATATATACTTTGGCAAATTTAAAGCAACATGGACATTTTCTTAGACGTGGTCTTAGTATTTTAGCTAGTAAAATGAAAGAAATTTAAGTCCTGGAAATTTATCCCTTCTTTGAAAGGATTAGAATTTCTTTGCAATAACTAAGAATTTAAAAAATTCTCAAAGAAGACAAGTTTAAGGAAAAAGTAGACACCAACCAAGAAATCAATTTATTGCTAAAAATTTGGCTTCAACTGTTTCAGTTTTGGCTGGTATTTCGTAGTTTTATTTGTGTAAATATGGGCTTTAATTAAATTTCCATGTTGCTGCTTAGGTTTTTCTTAAAATGTGGATGTCAATAAATTTTTTACATGAACTAAATTTAATAAGTAAGTTTAACTTACAGCTATTATCTTGGTATAGAAGCTAAAAAGCAAAAAGTACTTCTGAATAGTAGAAAGAGAACCGTAAGAATAGAATCGTGTTTTTTTAACTTCTGTCGTCACATATTTGAGTTTGATGGCTTAATAGTAGATGTATTTATGTCTTAGTTGTTTGCTGTCTAACTCTTCATACTATGTTTATATCTATAGACAATACAATCTAATGAGAATAGATTAGATATATTTTGTGAATAATATTTTTTTCTTTTTGTTTTAGGGATGCCCTCTGCATCTTTATTAGTAAATCTTCTTTCAGCTTTACTCATCCTATTTGTGTTTGGAGAAACAGAAATAAGATTTACTGGACAAACTGAATTTGTTGTTAATGAAACAAGTACAACAGTTATTCGTCTTATCATTGAAAGGATAGGAGAGCCAGCAAATGTTACTGCAATTGTATCGGTAAGAAATTATTATAGCTCTATTTTTACTGAAATAGATATGACGTTTCTTAGTTTTAATGGCAAGGATTTTTTTTTTCTGTTTGAGATTTTGAGCAGTTTCATTATGATAAATGATGGATAATTTGCAGATAATGCTATTCCATTTTTATCTCTTACAGGTTTATAGAGTGCTCCAACATAATCATGTATATTTAACAGTACTATTTTTAAAGATATAGACTGATCATTTTGTAGTGTTCATATATTTATTTTAGAACAAGAACTTTTCATTTTGGGTAATTTGGATTGTAGCTATCTCTGCTCAGATATACTATCTATTGTAAGGTGGTGTAGAGAAAACGTATGGAATATTTAAAAGTAGAGAAACGACAATAGTAAAAAAAAACTTTAGTTATGTCCAAGAGCTCTTTTAGTGGGAAAAATTAAGTATATTAACTTAAGTAAATGTTGGGTAGAATTTGTTAAACTATTGATCTATCTAGCACACAATTTAGTTACTGGGTGGATTGTGTGTGCATAAGTATGTGTCTATTTTTAACCAGAAAGTTATGTCATGTGACCACTAAGAGTATTGCTATATTTGAGTCTCAAAGTACTTATACTTTTTGTTTGCAAAAATAAAATCTTAAGAAATAGGCTTAATTATCACATTGTGAAATATTATAAAAAGAGAAGATGAAGAAAAATGACCTATGAACGAATCCAGTGCTATAATTTTAGTTATTTGTGACATATATCTATATATAGAAATTATTTTTAGAGTACACATTATATGAGATAATCTTTTTCATAAAATTTTGATTGAATCCTAACAATTTTTTCAGGTTCCTTTATCATTTTCACAACTTTTCTTAATGGTGTTGTAATTACTTCCTGATCATTCTTCCTTTTCATTGTGGTTGCTTCTAATTTTTACAGTTACGAATGTTATTCTGGTGAAACTGTTTACATATATTTTGATTTTTACCTATTTCGAATTGTTAAACGATTTTCATAGGCTGAATTACTGTGCTTTTCTGTTTGTTTCAGTGGCTCTTGATAACTCTTTCTTAAAGCTTGTGTCATTTTCTATAGTAAGGTATATTTTCCAACACCCTTCACAACTTACTTGGATTTCTCAAGTATTTAAAACTTAATTTATTGTTATGTATGAGAACTAGAAATTGACTAAAATTTCCCTATACATGATTTTTATTGGTACTAAATCAAATATTTTTTCTAGTAGCTTAATTACTCATTTTGAGCTCTTTCGTGAAAGAGATCTCATTTTGATCGCACAAGCTCATGCAGAATCTTACTAATAATACTGAGAATCTTACCAGTAATGCTGATTTCACAGAATAAGATCCTAAAAAGTTAAGGAAAAGTTTATGATGACTAAAACATTTGAAATGCTAAAATAATTAGATCTTTATTGGAGATGTGGGAGAATATAAGTACAACTTTAGGTTGAGTTTGGGAAAGAGCAGTTTCTTTGAAACTGATAGGGAAATAATTGATTTTCCTGACACAGTTTTTGGCAGGCCACATACATCTCTTTCTTTTCCTTTTCTCTTTTTTGTTGATATATAATAGTTGTACGTATTTTGGGGGTATATGTGATATTTTAATATTTGTATACAATGTGTAATGATCAAATTAGGGGAATTGGGGAATATCCCCAATGATCCCCAATGATCAAATTAGGGGAATATCCCTCACTTCAAACATTAATCTTTTCTTTGTGTTGGAAGCATTATAATTCCTCTCTTCTAGCTATTTTGATATATACAATAAATTAATGTTAACTATAATTTCCCTACTGTACTATCGAATACTGGAACCCATTCCTTCTGTTTTTGTACTCCTTAACCAACTTATCTTCATTAACCTCTTCCCTTCTCAGCCTCTGGTAACCACCATTCTACTCTCTACCTCCATCAGGTCCACATTCTTTAGCTGGATGAGAACATGTGGATGAGAACATGAGATATCTATCTTTCAGCACCTGGCTTATTTCACTTAACATAATGACTTCCTGTTACATCCATGTTTCTACAAATAAAAGGATTTCATTCTTTTTGATGGCTGAATAATATTCTGTTGTGTAGCTGTGCATATATACAACATTTTTTTGAGAATTTTAGCTATAATTTGTCTTATTGTTAGGTTTGCTGTTGTCTACTCCAGATCAATCAAGAGCAGAGAAAAAAATTCACATAATTGCTTTCCTATATAATTCTTTTTCTATGTAATATTTGTTTTCGTTTCACAGCATGAACAAATGATTTTGTTTAGAATCATTTCTTTTTTCCTTTTTTTTTTTTGAGGCAGAGTCTTGCACTGTCATTCAGGCTGGAGTGTAGTGGTGCGATCTTGGCTCACTGCAACCTCCGCCTCCCGGGTTCAAGCAATTCTCCTGCCTCAGCCTCCCAAGTAGCTGGGACTACAGACACACACCACCACGCCCAGCTAATTTTTGTATTTTTATTAGAGATGAGGTTTCACCATATTGGCCAGGCTGGTCTTGAACTCCTGACCTCGTGATCCGCCCGTGTCGGCCTCCCAAAGTGCTGGGATTACAGTAGTGAGCCACTGCGCCTGGCCTGGAATCATTTGTTTATTTCTGAAGATAAGTTTTTTCAGTTGTTAAATATTTATGATTTTTGTTTTTGTACACCCTATCTATAAACATAAATGTCACTTGATTTATGCTTTTTCTCTTGATTGCTGTAATTAACATCAGTTTTACTTGTCCTAATACTGTGTTAAATAAGAATGATCTATATTTTGCATTTGATAGCTGTATGGAGAGGACGCTGGTGACTTTTTTGACACATATGCTGCAGCTTTTATACCTGCCGGAGAAACAAACAGAACAGTGTACATAGCAGTATGTGATGATGACTTACCAGAGCCTGACGAAACTTTTATTTTTCACTTAACATTACAGGTAAGTCCGTGTTTCCTCCTTATAAAAATTATAAGGAGGACTTATAAAACTTATAAAAATCTTTTAGTGCTTAACAATCTATCTATCTAGAGATGAGCCAATTCAGATAACTGGTGGTGGTATTCATAGAATCCAGAACTGACAACCTCTTCAGCGCTTCCACAATCTGGTTATTCCTTGATCTTGTTCAGAAACTCTGCAGGTAGTTTTTGGATCCATTCAGCTTACTCGGGAATTGCCATGACAGTTGCTCCAGAAAACTTTGCCTTCCCTTTGGCCTTTTTTTCTTTTATTCCTCCCCTGCTACCAAATGTACAAAGAATGACTGTGACTTCTGAGATCAAAGGACAAGAATACAAAAAGCGGGCATGGAAGTGGGAGGTCCCTGTGACTTAAATTCAGAGTACCGCTGGGAGAAAAACCTGAATAGCCTTAGGTTTAATTGAACTTTATGGCTTGGTTTATTAGGTTGAGGCAATGACTCGCTAACACCATTCTGGTTGTTTTTTCTAAAGAACATTAAGAATTTTTTTTTGAATAATTGTGTCACTACCATTAAAATGTTTGTGAAAATTACACTTGAAACAGTTATGTTTTGCTCTTTTAAATCATTCTTTAAAAAATATACTTTTGTGCTGCTGTTGAATATCAGTACAAATGTTACAGAAAACTCTCCATTTTATAAACAGTTTTAATGTTTTATCTTCAGTTTGGTTCTGTGATTCATAGAATAACTAATTCTAAAGTTCCAGTACCTTCAATAGCATAGGAAAAATTACATTGAATAGAATTTTGTACTGTGTACTTAATTCTGTTATATTAGTGATAACATAGTAATTATAACTAATTTATAATATAGTATTATTAGCCAGTGATTATTTATAATTATACTATCATATATTATTAAGAGTCAGTGACTAATGGTTTTCAAAACTTTTTTGAAAATTTTTCATTTGGAACTTCTTAACCATATTGATGTAATTAGAATGTTTACTTAATCTGTGCATTAAGATTACATATGTATTTTTATTATATTCTGAATAACTACTTGAAGACAAATTCTACAAAAATAAATTTTTAACTTATTATTTTATTTTTAATTCATTATTTTATTTTTGGGATTTTATTTTAGAAACCTTCAGCAAATGTGAAGCTTGGATGGCCAAGGACTGTTACTGTGACAATATTATCAAATGACAATGCATTTGGAATTATTTCATTTAATATGGTATGGACACAATTTGATGATAATTGTGGTTGCTAGATAATAGTTTATTAAATTTTAAAAATTAGTTTTCATGATGTTAGCTAGTATCATGCTGTGTTTTGATATTTAAATAAAATTTGCTTTAACTTTGTCCCTGTTTCACATTCTGTAGACCATTCATTTGTTCTACCTAAGATGTTTGTGAATTGAGGACGCTTGTATGATCGTGGTCATCTTTTGTCCTAATCTCTTTCTGCTGATTGTTCCACCTGACTCCTTTGTTAACTCTTCTGTCTTTAACTCAGATATACCACCCATTGCCTTTTCCTGATTTCCCCAAATGTCACCTAAAGAAAGTGTTGTTTGTTTGTCAGACTCTTCTGAAAGTTTGGAGTTAATGGGAGATGAGAAAGCATATTGAAAGAATACTTTTCTTTTTTTTTAATTATTATTATTATACTTTAAGTTTTAGGGTACATGTGCACAACGTGCAGGTTTGTTACATATGTATACATATGCCATGCTGGTGTGCTGCACCCATTAACTCGTCATTTAGCATTAGGTATATCTCCTAATGCTATCCCTCCCCCCTCCCCCTACCCCACAACAGACGCCGGTGTGTGATGTTCCCCTTCCTGTGTCCATGTGTTCTCATTGTTCAATTCCCACCTATGAGTGAGAACATGCGGTGTTTGGTTTTTTGTCCTTGCGATAGTTTGCTGAGAATGATGGTTTCCAGCTTCATCCATGTCCCTACAAAGGACATGAACTCATCATTTTTTATGGCTGCATAGTATTCCATGGTGTATTGTGCCACATTTTCTTAATCCAGTCTATCATTGTTGGACATTTGGGTTGGTTCCAAGTCTTTGCTATTGTGAATAGTGCCGCAATAAAAATACGTGTGCATGTGTCTTTATAGCAGCATGATTTATAATCCTTTGGGTATATACCCAGTAATGGGATGGCTGGGTCAAATGATATTTCTAGTTCTAGATCTCTGAGGAATCGCCACACTGACTTCCACAATGGTTGAACTAGTTTACAGTCCCACCAACAGTGTAAAAGTGTTCCTATTTCTCCACATCCTCTCCAGCACCTGTTGTTTCTTGACTTTTTAATGATTGCCATTCTAACTGGTGTGAGATGGTGTCTCATTGTGGTTTTGATTTGCATTTCTCTGATGGCCAGTGATGATGAGCATTTCTTCATGTGTTTTTTGGCTGCATAAATGTCTCCTTTTGAGAAGTGTCTGTTCATATCCTTTGCCCACTTTTTGATGGAGTATTTTTTTTCTTGTAAATTTGTTTGAGTTCATTGTAGATTCTGGATATTAGCCCTTTGTCAGATGAGTAGATTGCAAAACTTTTCTCCCATTCTGTAGGTTGCCTGTTCACTCTGATGGTAGTTTCTTTTGCTGTGCAGAAGCTCTTTAGTTTAATTAGATCCCATTTGTCAATTTTGTCTTTTGTTGCCATTGCTTTTGGTGTTTTAGACATGAAGTCCTTGCCCATGCCTATGTCCTGAATGGTATTGCCTAGGTTTTCTTCTAGGGTTTTTATGGTTTTAGGTCTAACAGGTAAGTCTTTAATCTATCTTGAATTAATTTTTGTATAAGGTGTAAGGAAGGGATCCAGTTTCAGCTTTCCATATATGGCTAGCCAGTTACTTTCAAAAAACTTACTATGAACTTAAATTGAATAGCAGGTATTACATCTCTTCAAAATTCTGTAGTCATCCCAACTCTTAGGTTTTCCCATTAATTAATATTTTCTGAAGATTGAAACTTCCTTTCATTTCACTCACCTTTGCTCAATAGTGTATTTTCTGTTCCTTAACTGAATTCCTGTGGCTCTGGCCAATCCTGTGATCAGAGAGTTTTATCTTTAGAAACAAATACACAAAATAGGGCCCTTCTTGAGATAAATTGTTTCCAGCTCCTAAAACCAAGTTTATCTCCAATACAACTGAATCTGGTCGCTAAATTTTAGACTCCAGTAACATTCCTGACTCGGAGTCTCCTTGAATCACATTACTAATTATAATTAATAAAACACGTTGCAATACTTCCCAGCTTTTCATTTATTTTTAGATTGCTACTACAATTGGTTGTATTGTATGTCATTTTCTTGGTACCTTAACTTATCTTTGAAAGAAGTGGGCTATAAGTAAATATGATCTTTATAGTGCAGTATCTTTGTTAAAAAGGGTATTTGGCCAACCTCAGTTTAGTAGAAATTCGGTAACCTCCATTATACTGTCATTTACAGACATTAAGTTAATTAATCAACCATCTCTTTTATTTGAATGATAAGGAATTGAATGATAAAGAATTGTTAATGATGAAGCAGGCTCCCTTAATTGCTAAATTTCTCTCCATGTGGCTTTCCTGCTACACTTACTCTCTGTGTATCACCTCCGACCTCATACTGATTTGTTTAAAGGTTTCTTTTGTTGTTGTTGACATTATATATCTTAGCCTATGGGAATGAATCCTAGTTTCTGTCATGGGTCCTAGGTCCCTGACTGGTGGGGGTCTCAGTGCTGCCAGGCAGCCTCTGACATCCTTAAAATTAAACTAAATAACCATTGAGCTCACGGTGGTGCTCAATAGGCTGGCTTTGCTTTTCAGCCCTGAGGATGATTATGTTGGTAGTGAAGATGACATTGATGATGATGATAATAATAGCAACATTTACTGTGCCCTCAGTATATGTCAGGTACTAGGATAAGCACTTGATGTGAACTATCGCATTGAAACCTCATCACAACCCTTCAAGACGGACATTGCTAACCCCAGTTATGTATGGGGCTACTGAGTTTTGCTGTCACCCTGAGAGCTGGCAGCTGCTTCTGTAGCCTGTATGTACTTGGCTGTGTCCGTGTTCCTCCTCTTCTACCCTGAGTTTCCACCAGCTGAACCAGCATATTTCTTTTGAAGTCTTTGCTTTCACCTCCTGCAGAGATCCTGTCCTGAAAGTTATTAGCAGTGTCTGCTTTTCACTGACAAGCTGGCTGATGTGGAGAAAGAGTGGTTGTGGACAAGGCCAAGTGGTGGTCCCAGTGACCTGCTGCCTTGGTCTGGAGGCTTAATTCATGTTTGTGACCTCCTGGGCCCCTGTGAGCATTTGAGTTTGTCACCTTTCAACTAAAAAACCTTTAAATTCCTCAGCAGAACAGCTAGTTGATGGTAGAACCAGGACAAGAAACCACATCTTTTGCCTGACTAGTTTTTATGTTCCCTTTACACTATTCTTTTTAACTTTTTCAGCATTTTAAAGCTATAGTTCATTGATGCTAGGAAATATCACATTCTTATCGTACAGTGTGGATTGATGTGTCTGTGGAAATTGAGCGTTTCTGAGGTAATAGTTTTTACCGCCTCATACCTCTGATTGCTCAGCTCCTGATCATCTGTGCTTGCTTTCCTCAATAGCTTCCCTCAATCGCAGTGAGTGAGCCCAAGGGCAGAAATGAGTCTATGCCTCTTACTCTCATCAGGGAAAAGGGAACCTATGGAATGGTCATGGTGACTTTTGAGGTAAGTTTACTCTGAAGTCATTTTATTTTATTTATTTTTATTTTTATTTATTTATTTTTGAGACAGTCTTGCTCTGTTGCCCAAGCTGGAGTGCAGTGGTGCGATCTCAGCTCAATGCAACCTCTGCCTCCCAGGTTCAAGTGATTCTCCTGCCTCAGAGTCCCGAGTAGCTAGGATTGCAGGCATGTGCCACCATGCCTGGCTAATTTTTGTATTTTTAGTAGAGACAGGGTGTCACCATGTTGGCCAGGCTGGTCTTGAACTCCTGGCCTCAGGTGATCCGCCCGCCTTGGCGTCCCAAAGTGCTGGGGTTACAGGCGTGAGCCACTGCACCCGGCCCTGAAATCACTTTAAATGCGAACACTGGGGTTCATACCAGATGGCTGCAATTTTGAAAATCAAAGTTCCTTGTATAATAAACATGACACAATACAATTAAAATAAAGATGAATACTTTTCTGATCTGATACATTTCATGATTAATATAAAAATGTTTTCCTTGCTGCTTGTGTATACAATGCTTACATGAAATACAAGTAACATTTTAGATATGTGGGAAAAATAAATCATAGGATAGAATAATAATGTTAATTCTATAAAATTCATGGAACTTTTATGATAAATGTTTTCAAAGACAGGAAATTTTAAAATACCCATGGATTACTTAGGTTTACATAAAATTATTTAATATGTTGTCTTTCTCTATTTTATTTTATTTTATTTTTTTTGAGACAGGATCTTACTCTGATGCCCAGGCTGGAGTACAGTGGCACTATCATGGCTCACTGCAGCCTCAACCTCCTGGGCTCATGCAGTCCTCCTGTATCAGCATTCTGAATAGCTGGGAGTACAGGTGTGCATCACCATGCCCAGCTAAGTTTTAATGTTTTTTGTAGAGATGAAGTCGCATTATGTTGCCCAGGCTGGTTTTGAACTCCTGAGCACAAATGATCCTCCCTCTTCAGCCTCCCAAAGAGCTGGGATTACAGTCATGACCCACCATGCCTTCCCCCTGCCCCCCATTTTTTTCAGTACACCAAATGGATGGTGTTTGTAGCCATTGCACTCCACCATGGGAATCCATAAATGTTACAGGATGTGGCATGAATATGATAAGCTGTAGGTGAGGTGTATTTTTCAGGGGCTAGCTCTAATCATTTTATTTGATTGCTTACTGACCATGTGCCAATCATTGTGTCACCACATTGCTGTTCTATGAGATACACATTTAAATCTTCAACTAATTTTTGTGTTTTTTAGGATCCACAACATGATTATATACTATTTTCAAACATTAGAGTATTAGCAATTTCAGATACCAGTTTCTTTCCTAATTATTAATTGTAATATCAATAAAATGGAAGCATATTTATTTAACACAATTCTATGGTAGCATAGAAGAGTTCTGTTCATGCTTGTGGGTGTCCACATCATATGGTAGTTATGTTAACTACACAGAACATAGAATAGCAGAAGACAATAATGCATGAAAAACACAGTAAACACTAACTAAATATGCAGTAGTCTTGCAAGTTTTACACTGGAAGCATTACACAGTTTTTCAGGTACTTAGGAATATGCATTTAGACAATAAATTTTTGAAAATTTTTCTGATAAATATTGGAAAAATTAGAAAATAATTGGCTGTAGAAAGGATAAATCATCCAGAGTAGAGTGTTTTCAACTTATCTATGGATGTCTAAAGTTATTTTATCAGGTTTGTAGCCTGTTTTTTGTTTAAATAATTATAAGTAACATTTTTGGAGTGCTTAATATTGCCATATACTGTTGTAAGTGCTTTATATTGATTATTACTGCATACGTATAGCACCCCTCCCTGGCACTTGATCTCTCTCATGCTATTCTTAATTTTTTCTCTATGATACTTATTATCATCTAACGCATACCCATTCATTTATTTATCATTTATTCCCTTCCTTTAAATGTCAGGACTATATGGAGGGGAATTTGCTGTGTTCACTGCTAAATCTTTAGTACCTAAAAGAGATGCAGCATAGAGTACTCAACAAATGCTTTTTTAAATGAATGATTTTATTTATTCTTCACATCTTCACATCCAGCTTGTGAAGTGGAAAATACTGGTATTACTTGAGGGAATTTACTAATCTTGAATACCCTTTCTTCCAAGAAGAAATATTTGTAGAGTTTTTTTTTTCCCCTCAGGTTTAACATAATGGTTGAGAAAAAACAGCTCGTAGAAACCACGTAGTTTAATGCAGTTATAGTCAATATCTATAATTACGTTATAGGACCTATTAATTTGAAGGGCAGAATGATGTATGGGTTAGTGTAATTCTTGCAGAACATCTTTAAACTTCAGATTTTTGTCAGCTGACATCACAATGATGCTTTCTCAGTCTTGTGAAGTATTTTGCATTTATTGATGGCATTTTGTGTTTCTTTGCAGGTAGAGGGTGGCCCAAATCCCCCTGATGAAGATTTGAGTCCAGTTAAAGGAAATATCACCTTTCCCCCTGGCAGAGCAACAGTAATTTATAACTTGACAGTACTCGATGACGAGGTTGGCTAATGTTACATACCCAAATGGGACAAGGATTCTGTGTTGCAGGACACAGTCCTGTATAAACTTAGTGTATTGTGGCCAGTCGCACCTCAGCTATAAATAGCTGACTGTTCTGGAATACATCTTATTACTATTTATCTTACTTAATTCACATTAAATTACACATCTAAAAGCTGATGAATCTGAATATAACTGGCAACCATACATCATACAAATATTTAAGCATTTTGTATACCCTGGTAATCAATTTTTGTTAGTGCTTTCAATTTTGAGCAAGAACAATACTAACCTAGAATAAATATTTTACCATAAAAGCAAAGAAAAATTCTACTGCAGTTGGTATTCTTTTGTTTTTATTTTTTTGTTGTTGTTTAGAAGGAGTCTCGCTCTGTTGCCCAGGCTGGAGTGCAGTGGCGCGATCTCGGCTCACTGCAAGCTCCGCCTCCAGGGTTCACGCCATTCTCCTGCCTCAGCCTCCCGAGTAGCTGGGACTACAGGTGCCTGCCACCATGCCCGGCTAATTTTTTGTATTTTTAATAGAGACGGGGTTTCACCGTGTTAGCCAGGATGGTCTCGATCTCCTGACCTCGTGATCCACCAGCCTCGGCCTCCCAAAGTGCTGGGATTACAGGCATGAGCCACCGCACCCGGCTTGTTTGGATATTTTTAATGTTCACATTTATGGGAAGATTTTTATTATTTTTATATTTCACATTGGAACTAGCAAGGATAGAGATACATGATACACCTAGCTTAATTGCTAAGAATGAATCTGAACAATAATGTGCAAGGATGTCCCCCACATGAGCTAAACGAGAGAAAACATGACTTTTTATAAAAGAAACTAAGTTTTGCCAGAAAAGAAAACAAAAAGAAAATAGCTGGCAATTTGTAACCCTCCCTCTACCCTCCTACAAAAATTCTGAAACTAAATCACAAGAAAACTCAAGAGAAGGGAAAAAATGTATTAGAGTATTAGAAGACATTATTAGAAAAGAATTTTTCTCTTGAAAAAAAATGAAATATTTGGAAGCATTGATATCTCCAGTTCCTCTGGTTCTGGAAGCAAGCAAAAAAACCTTTTTGTTTTAAGATCTCAGAGCATTGAACGGGCTATAATTTGGGGAGATGATTAATTATACATTTTGATTGTAAATTTGAAAGATCAATCGAATCATAACATTTTATTTTTAAGATAAATAGCTTTGCTTTTTATATTGCTGCTGATGGAGGTAAAAGCATGCATTTTTTTCACTTTTATTTCTAAAATAGAGTTTATGGTGAATGAAAAGCTCACACAGCACAGTGGAGATTAACCCCAAGATTTCTCTGCAGCAGCATAAATAAAAGGAAAAAAAAAAGAAAGAAAAAAATGAAAAGCAAAAATTGCACTTTAACAGTGTCAGCATTTTTCCTAGTAGTGACTCTTACAGCTTTTTCTCCAGAGAGGCATGATGTGTATCTTGAAAAGCATATATTGGTGTCACGTGTTTAACTCCTGAATTAACAACCATTTGGAGAAAAGCAAGAATAATTCACAAGGAAAACTAACAATTTTTATGTAATGTTTAACGTACTTTCCAGATTCTTAGGTATTATTAGACTTTCAGTACTACTTCTAAGCATATCAAACTGATAAAACTGATAGAAATGTATGACAGTTTTTTACTGTTTAATCTTTGGAGTTATCTAAGGACCAGTTAAGGCTGAAAGACATTATACCTGGACTTCATTACTTGTACTATTGCTTCCTTACGTTTTCTTTTCCTGTGTAAAATACATTATTTACCTGTGGAAAATATTTTATTAATTGGAGACTAAACAAGCCTTTCTATTTGCTCCCTCAGTTAAAGAATTTTTATTTCTATGTAATTGTATTGAAACATAATGACTTGTTACACTTTAGTTTATTTGCAGGTGTTTTGGCTGTTGATGTTTTGCCTCTGTTTATATTCCTTTAACAGGTACCAGAAAATGATGAAATATTTTTAATTCAACTGAAAAGTGTAGAAGGAGGAGCTGAGATTAACACCTCTAGGAATTCCATTGAGATCATCATTAAGAAAAATGATAGTCCCGTGAGATTCCTTCAGAGTATTTATTTGGTTCCTGAGGAAGACCACATACTCATAATTCCAGTAGTTCGTGGAAAGGACAACAATGGAAATCTGATTGGATCTGATGAATATGAGGTTTCAATCAGTTATGCTGTCACAACTGGGAATTCCACAGCACATGCCCAGCAAAATCTGGACTTCATTGATCTTCAGCCAAACACAACTGTTGTTTTTCCACCTTTTATTCATGAATCTCACTTGAAATTTCAAATAGTTGATGACACCATACCGGAGATTGCTGAATCGTTTCACATTATGTTACTAAAAGATACCTTACAGGGAGATGCTGTGCTAATAAGCCCTTCTGTTGTACAAGTCACCATTAAGCCAAATGATAAACCTTATGGAGTCCTTTCATTCAACAGTGTTTTGTTTGAAAGGACAGTTATAATTGATGAAGATAGAATATCAAGGTATGATTTATTTTAAATATATTGCTACCATTATTTTATTATATTATTCCAGATTTAAGTTTTGTGGTGTTGGACACAACAATGAACTGTTAGAATATGTGTCATTTTTTCCCACAAAGTTTCATGACAAACTCAGAAAAGACACACACACACACACACACACACACACACACACACACACACACAAGAATATGTCATTTTTTCTACCATGGCTTCACTGTTTTCTTTCTTATTTGGAGTGTGATTTAATTATGCAAATGATTCATAGTATAGTAGTTCCCTAGGACACATTCACATATCTACACCTTCATATTAAAAATACTTTTTTCCGCCAGGCATGGTGACTCACACCTGTAATCCCAGCACTTTGGCAGGCTTGGGGGAGGATTTTCTGAGTCTAGGTGTTCAAGACCAGCCTGGGCAACAAAGTGAGACCCCGCCCACAAAATAAAATAAAATAAAATAAAATAAAATAAAATAAAAAGATTAGCTGAGTGTGGTGGTGTCCACCTGAAGTCCCAGATACTTGGGAGGCTAATGCAGGAGGATTGCCTGAGTCCATGAAGTTGAAGTTGTAGTGAGCTCTGATCACACCACTGCACTTCAGCTTGGGCAACAGAGTGTGACCCAGTCTCAAACAAACAAAAATAACAAATCAGTTATTTTTTTGTTGTATAGATTCTGTTTTTATCAGTGTCTAATGGACAACTTGACATTGGGAAAGCTTATCTAAGGGAAATAAAGTGTACTATGTGACAATATGTATTTCTTTTAAAACATTTAAGATATGAAGAAATCACAGTGGTTAGAAATGGAGGAACCCATGGGAATGTCTCTGCGAATTGGGTGTTGACACGGAACAGCACTGATCCCTCACCAGTAACAGCAGATATCAGACCGAGCTCTGGAGTTCTCCATTTTGCACAAGGGCAGATGTTGGCAACAATTCCTCTTACTGTGGTTGATGATGATCTTCCAGAAGAGGCAGAAGCTTATCTACTTCAAATTCTGCCTCATACAATACGAGGAGGTGCAGAAGTGAGCGAGCCAGCGGAGGTATAACCCTTGTTATGCTTTATGCTTGTTAATATTTCTGTGCTGTACAAGAACCAAAGAATTTGGTCATACACATCAACTTTATGTTTAGTTTGAAGGGACAGGAAAAACACTGGCTTTGCAAATGATAGTTTTCTTACTCAGTATTCCTTCTGAAAATAAATATTTTACCCTCTAAAAAATTCCACAAACTGTGATTTAGGAATATTTCCAAATCTGTTTTTGGTTCATCTTTTGCTCTATTATGTATAAGAAGTCATCATTTTTAGACATAAAATATTAATAAATATTAAAATTAGAATAACATGGAAAATACAGAGTTTGATCATCTCAGATGCGAGAATTCTGTACTTTAATATTTTATTCCTTTACTTCAGCTTTTGTTCTACATTCAGGATAGTGATGATGTCTATGGCCTAATAACATTTTTTCCTATGGAAAACCAGAAGATTGAAAGCAGCCCAGGTGAACGATACTTATCCTTGAGTTTTACAAGACTAGGAGGGACTAAAGGAGATGTGAGGTTGCTTTATTCTGTACTTTACATTCCTGCTGGAGCTGTGGACCCCTTGCAAGCAAAAGAAGGCATCTTAAATATATCAAGGAGAAATGACCTCATTTTTCCAGAGCAAAAAACTCAAGTCACTACAAAATTACCAATAAGAAATGATGCATTCCTTCAAAATGGAGCTCACTTTCTAGTACAGGTACTTGTATGATTAAAATAATCGTAATTTTGGTTAACCTTCAAGTGTACTAACCTGTGTGAAAGAATTAACTGAACATTATTTTGACCTTGTTATTTTGCCGTCATTTATATGTTGTTACTAAAAGTTGTTTAGGTAGTCGGAAGAGAGATTATGCCTGCTCCTAAGGTATATAAGTATAAATAAGACAAGAATTTTTACCAAAGTTAATATTTTAATTAAGTGACATTAAAAGTACACCAGACGTGAAATGCCAGTCATGCAAGTCAGACTGTCATGGATGACATAGTAGAGTAACTTACAAACTATTACAGGGGAGGGCGAGAGAAAGAGAGGCTAACCATGCTTTGAATTGATTTGGGAAAATATGACATAGGAATAGGATTTGTAGGATAAGTATGTTTTCATAATGAATATTGCAAGGAAAATATTTCAGAAACAAAGCAATATGAGATATATATTTTTTCTTTTTTTTTGAGACAGGGTCTCACTCTGTCACCCAGGCTGGAGTGCAGTGGCGGCATCTCAGTTCACTGCAGCCTCCACGTCCCAGGTTCAAGTGATTCTCCTGCCTCAGCCTCCCGAGTAGCTGGGATTATAGATGCCTGTCACCACACCTGGCTAATTTTTGTGTTTTTAGTAGAGACGGGGTTTTCCCATTTTTGGCCAGGCTGGTCTTAAACTCCTGACCTCAGATGATCCATGCGCCTGAGCCTCCTAAAGTGCTGTGATTACAGGTGTAAGCCACCACGCCTGGCCCAAGAAAAATTTTATAAATACTTTTAAATAATATACTCAAAAATCAATTTCTTTGTCTAGGTAGACTCTCTGGACCTTCAACTGTTTAGTAAAGTCCCCATGACGTATCCTTCCATTTTATACATTTCATTTCTTCTGTTAACCAAAATATTATTTTTATGGCCAAAGTATAAAATATCTGCACTCATTTATGATACTGTTGTTGTTTTCCATGTGTTGATTGCTTGATACTTAAAATTCTAAATCAATAAAGGGTACTTATTAAATTATGTAAATCAATTAAATACAGAATCAGGTAGTGTGAATGGACTGACAAGGAAAGAGCTAAAATCTTATGTTGCCATACATTGTGCCAACTGAAGTATATAGCAAATGAAATATTCTATTTCACTAATTTCTTTGAATCATGCCACATTTAAATATGTTTCATATTTTGCCTTGATTTTGTTTTATGATGGATTTATTATTCCTTTCTCTGGAGTTTCTGATTGTCCCTTTTCTGTATGTTATCTTCACTATATTATTGAGATCTTGCTGCTGTCTTCCTGTGTGTGTTGAATGTTGAGTTTAGCTAAACTAACTGCTTTCTGTGCTTGTTTCACATCTGTTGTCTGGGATTTTTTTACTGAGCTCCTGAATTTTCTTGATCTGTTGCGTTTCTCTTTTGGGATTATGCTGTAGTTTTGTTGTAGTATATCTACCCTCAAACAAATGTGCTGAAAGTATATATGTAAGGTAAACTTTTTGAGTCTTTGAGCACCTGAAATGTGAAATTTTATACTCATATTGATAGTTTGGCTTGGTAGAAATTTCTGGATTAAAATAATTTATTCTTCAGAACTTGAAAGGTATTGTTGTTAAGCTTCTAGAGTTGCAGATGAGAAATTTGAAGGGAAGGAAATGATTTATCTTTTAGATAACTCGATCTTTGTCTCTGAAAGCTTTTTACAACTGTTCCTTGGTGTTCTGAATTTTGTAAGACTGTGTCAGCACTTGGTAGGGTGACCGTTTTCATTTTGAAGACTCCCGCGTTTTTTTAAGCTGAGCCTCCAGGCATACTTGTGCTGTTAGGGCATTTTTCGAGGACTCTTGTCCAAGGGGCTTAGTGGGTGACCTGTTACGGGGATGTAGGATTTGTCAGTATGTACGCGACACCTTTTTGTAATATACCTACACAGAGGGAGGCATTTGCCATCTTCCCCAGAGCCCTACACTAATGGCAGTAGATCCTGATCTTCATCTTTATTATTATTAATTTTTGTTTTCTTGCGTCTCCTCCAAGCGGGAAAATTTTCATGTGATGCGAGCTTCTGCCTGTGAGGATAACTTACTCTCTGGAGGACCCTTGGATTTTTCTTGGAGTGGAAAGATAGGGAACACGGCTCTATTCACAATTGTGTCTGGTTTGTCCTGTGGCTTGTGGATGCCAGGGAGTCTGGATCTGTGAAGTGAAATACTGCAAATGGCCACGCACATGACTTGGGCCCTTGTGAGCATTAAGTTAAAACAACTAGAATGCTGCTACCAGAACACATTTAGAGCTATATTTAGAAACTAAAAACAAAAACAAACAAAAAAATCTCTGACTTTATACAAAAACATGACATAATTTGTTTGCTTTTAAAAATTGATTTTATTAATATGGAAGTGCATATTGATTTTACCAGTTCACACTTAGAGTAGCATTTCTGAAGTTTCAAGACTGTGTGGGATTCAATTTTTTGAGTTTCAGAATTTAATGGAATTTTTTTGACATTAGCACTTGTTTGTCTTCTCTGCTGTCAGTGTCCTCAGGTTTCAGGGTTTCAGAACATTCCCATAAGTATATGTTTAAGGGCTTTTTTTGGGATTTTTTTGGTCTTACTGTTCTCCCTTCTGTTTGTCTCCAGTCTTGCATAATCTACAACTCATGCAAGAACCAGATTATTAAAACAAGTGGAATGAGACAGAGATTTTTACACAGTTGCTTTTGCTTTCATGGAAGCCTGGGCATTCTGGCATATGTGGAGTAGTTGCAGTGATGTGATAGAAGTTTGAGAATTGATGATGCAGAAATGTTGTTTTGGAGTTACAGAGAACGTTTTTGTTATCATTTGAGCTTTCTAATGTCTTTTCTCATAATGCCTCAAAACTAGTTTTTACTGTGGATAAGGACAGTAAAAACTGTGCTAATATATAAAAAAATCTGTACCAATATCAGTATCCTCTATGTTAAACTTTTAATCTTTTGAAAAAGTCCAATATTTCTATCCAAGTAACTGCAGAGAATTCTTGTATAAATACATCCTTATTAGGAACTTTGTACAAGTCAGATATTATCTTAGCTACTCTGCTTCAGCATTCTATATAAACATGACAATTAATTTTTGATGACACTTGAAAGCTAAGAAAAAAGTTGAAGAAGGATGTAATTAATATCTGATTTTTGGTGATCCTGGGTTAGAAAGTTGCACCACTAATTTCAGACTCAATTCTTTATGTATCTATATAGTTAAAACCAAAGGTCTTACAGTGCAGTTAATTTATCACTTGCTTAGGGTGAACAAGGCATTATTAGTCACTGACACAAGTCATTGAGGTTCAAAACAGCTGTAGGTTCTGGAAGGCTAGTTGGAATAAGAGGGCTGTGTAGTTTGCATAGTACATAATGGATGAGCAACTCAAGAATAGGAAGCCTCAGCCTCTGCATGCAAAGTTGAATGAAACTAAAGAAAGCAGAATTCTTTAGTCGCTCCTCATTCTTTAGTAACCCTCTCAGCTAAATACGTTAGTCTGAGATGCAGCTTTTGGCAAGCATGGGGTTACTAATGTGCTGTCCCAGTGGCAAACTATCTGAAATAAAGAATGATTCTTTATGAATGAATAGAGCAGTTTGATTTAGCAGATGGAACCCAGACAGACAAAAAAAGGCTTATAGGCTAGGAAATAAGCCCTGTACAATTAACATTTTCTTTTCCATCAGTTCATTTCATAACCATCTACATTTTCTTTCTATTTGTCAAAAATCCTATATCTAGGATTAATTCTATAACTTTTTTGATAAGTGTAGGGAAATATGACTTATATATTTCTTTCTTTTTAGAAAGTTTTGTGTAAAAATTATTGTTTTTTTCTTGATGCTTAACACAGTATTATCAGTTTAGCTCTTTTTGAATATACAGCAATGACAATGTTCATTCACGAATGTGTGCTTGGTCATACATGACCAGTGTATTTTAGAAATATCTTTGCCTTATAACAATGCACACCCTTATATTTATATACCATTCAAATATACATATTTTATTTAACTTTGTGCTATTTTGTAAGATAAATAAATATATATGTGTATATATATATATTCCTTTTCTCTAGAAAGAATGACAGTTATGTGACTTTAATTATTTATCTTTACATTTTATCTACATTGTAAGGTAAATGCAGTATACTAAAGATCACGTTTTATTTTATGTGGCTTCATCTATATGCCAATACTTGACAAAATTGATCAATCTAATTTTTTTCTTTTTTCAAATGAATATTTACCAAAACCAAAATTATTCATGTCTTTCTCCTGTATATGATTTTTTAAAGCAAAATGTGTGACATTTAAAAAAGACATTTACTTTTACTATTAAAATGTACTATCCATCGCAAAATAGGAGAGAAATCAGTACCAGTCCTGTCCACGTGTGGAAAATCAATTTAAATCACAGGTCTACTGGTGATTACTTAGTGTCATCATTTCAATATTATAAAGCCTAACAGAGGGCTTTAAAGAGTGGCAGAGACATGTTTTATTAAGTTAAAAGTTGCATTTTATTTTAATATTTAAAATTCCTATGGTTTTTGCAGTCCTGTGACGATTACCTATTCCTGCATTCCTGAAGTGAACACTGTGTGCATTGATTGAGAAGTTAGGTTTTGAAAAGTTAGAATATTTAAGACGTTGAATGTTTGTGATTTATCAGAATTCTTATAGAGCTCAGATTGTGTAGAAGGGAGGAATTAACAAATATTTATTGTGAAGCTGCTGCAGTTTCAAGTCTATGTCAAGCCTACGTCATGTATTGGGAAAATGCTGAAAAGGACACAGACCCACAAGAGCTCTGCAGACCTGTTGGGAAGTAAAAATCTGGAATGAATCAAATGATGAGAAACCAGCAATATGTAAAATGTATAACTGCAGGGACACTATATGTTATACATTGCAGTTCTTTAAATGTAAAGATGCATGAAGTTATAAATGGAGTTCTGAGTAGTCTTCTGATACTGGATTTTGTCTGGAGGAGAAGGGAAATGGGGGATGATTGGAAGTGTGGGTCAGTGGAAGACAGGAAGGAGATGTGGATGACTCTCTGATATTTGGCTTTAAGGTCAAGGTAGTTGGATGTAGGTGGCAAGGAGGAAAAGCAGGTGGTGGCACTGCTGATGATACTAGTGAAGGGGCATGGAACAGGGACAGTGATTTCTGTTTTGGATATTGTATATGTAAGGTGTTTGTGTGACATTTATATGATGTCTGTGGCAGTTAGTTATAATGATTTGGAATTAGAGGGAGAGATGCAGAGATTATTAAGGAGCAGGCATAAAATTATAAGATAAAGGGTTTAGGCAGACCCTTGGGGAATAATAACAATTGAGGGGCAGAAAGAGCTCCAGAGGCCAGGGAAGGAGATTGAAAAGGGATGGTGAATGAGAGAGGAGGAGAATAACATTGCGAAGTTATTGGTGACCTCTACCTACGCTTACTTTGTCACCCCATGCTGTTAAGCTTTTTTAAAAAATTTATATTCTATCAATTCTTACTACTTTTTGTGTATTTGTTTATTATAGTTGGAAACTGTGGAGTTGTTAAACATAATTCCTCTAATCCCACCCATAAGCCCTAGATTTGGGGAAATCTGCAATATTTCTTTACTGGTTACTCCAGCCATTGCAAATGGAGAAATTGGCTTTCTCAGCAATCTTCCAATTATTTTGCATGAACCAGAAGATTTTGCTGCTGAAGTGGTAAGTAGGCTCTTTCTTACTGATGGGGGCTAATGAGTATGAAGTAATGTACAGACACTATTTTTAAAATAAGATCAGCATATAGGGTTAACATCTTAAAAAGCTTCAGCATGTACAAGAAGCCTTCAGTATGTCATTTGAAATAGGTAACTGATGAGTATGTGATTTTTCCATCATCGTTTACAGTATTAGATAGAATGAAATTGGAATTAATTGCTCACAGTGAGTGTCGGATATTTTGATGTGACAGCTTTCAGATAGTTCTATGACATTCGATACTACAGTGGTAGCCAAACATAAACTTTTTTTTTTTTTTCTTTGAGAGAGGATTTTACTCTGTCGCCCAGGCTGGAGTGCAGTGGCGTGATCTCAGCTCAGTGCAACCTCTGCCCCGGGCTCAATAGATCCTCCCACCTCAGCCTTATGAGTAGCTGGGACTACAGGTCTGTGCCACCACTCCTGCCTATTTTTTCTTTGTATTTTTAGTAAAGATGGGGTTTTGTCATGTTGTCCAGTTTGGTCCCCAACTACTGAGCTCAAGTAGTCCACCTCCCTTGGCCTTCCAAAGTAATGGGATTACAGGCATGAGGCATTGTGCCTGGCCTATAAACCTTTTTTTTTTTTTTTCTTAATGGCCAAGACATGGTACCACAGGTGTGCTTGACCTACTTCATTTCTGAGCATTCCATATGCTTGGGTTGGAGTGAGGTGGCCAGGTTGGGCCTTATGCTTGATGATGGAGATGATAGTGGTAAAGTTGTGGAATGCTAAATCTTAAGAATTTTTTACTTTATATATACAATATATGTAAATTTTTGCATATAGACATACAAAACGTTCACATGCACAGCACCCCATCCCTCCCCTTGCCCCCACCCCGACATGCCCTGGTTGAATTTTTCTCTTAGGGATGGCTCTTCCTTCAGCCTTACCATTTCCTGAGTCATAGTTGATCCCTGAGACCTTCTCCAAGTCCCCCACACTTAAATTTGATTTAAACCTAGTTGAGGTTTGGATCAGAAAGAAGGAGAGCTGTTTTTGTTATCAAAGCCTTATGTTAAAATATGGTGACCTCAATTTCCATTGTATATTAGCTTCTATAAATGGACAGAGAAGTTTCATTTTTCAAGATGGTTTTGATTTTTCATATTTTTCTGAATACACTCTTTTCTTCTTAAAACGGAAAAGCATTTAGTTTGCTCTTAAAGAGTTGATTGCTTTTATCTTAGATAGCTGTAAATTTACCGTTTCATATTTTTCCCTTAAGAAAAATTAGCTTTTAGGAAGTTTTGGGCTCCTTGGACCTGCATTCTTCCCTGTTGGGAAACAGCAGAAAAACTAGGAGTTTTCCTTTGTTTGTTCCAGATACAGCCTGGATGATGCCCACTCCCTCAAGGTGATTCAGGGCCCCAGCCCTCTGTTATAAGAATCTTTGCTCACTAGTCTCAGGTTATGACGATTGTTAGCTGAAGTAGCAGAATGATTAATGGAGAAAATGTCTTGTTTTTTTTTTTCCAAGATGAGCTTAAAGGGCAAAGAAAAAATAAAACAGGATACTCCTCTTTTAGGAGCATAAAAAGAATAGTGTAATCTAGCATTAAATATTCCTTTATATTCCTCCTTTGAAAAAAACTTCATCATGATATGCAGCGATCCTTTTATTATACATTTTTTAAAGTGTACTGCCCTTGAATGAAACCTCCAAATACAATTTGTTTCAGAATTATTATAATAGCTTCCATTTATTTAGCTTATACTGTGGAGAGGCACTGTCCTAGATACTTTACTTAAACAATTCCTAATCCTCACCACAAACTTGCCAAATAGGGAATCATTAGCTTTATTTCACATGAGAAAATTAGGATCAGAGAGGTTAAGTAACTTGCTCAAGGTAACCCAGAGTCATGATAAAAATATCTGATTTTATTTCTGTGGTATTTATCCTATTGGTTAGAATTTTTTTTTTAATTTTACCCCCATCACTTAGGATGTATTTTATATGAGATAATTTTCCAGTTTTAATCACCGGAGTTTATTTTTCAGTTTATATTGTGATAGTAAGTTCATTTTATTTTCAGAGAACCTCTAATGGAAATATATTCTTTAGCAAGATTGCTGTATGTTTTTCACAATTCTTTGGGTTTTAAAATATTTGCCTTTTATTAAGGCAAACCCAGATTAGACACATTTTTGGGTGAGGGTAGTTTTGTATATAAATTTGATTAGCAAAAATTAATAAAAATATATCTAAAGTGATTTCCATGCTTAAAGGATTGTTTGGTTGTGTTTTAATGCATTTAATAGTTCGCTTCTCTATATAGAATACATATGTTCACACAGTAATATATGTACAAACTAATATCAATACCAAAGCTTATATAATTTCTGAACATATATTTTAGAAGAAATTGTTCTGTTCTTTTCTTTTTATAAGGTATACATTCCCTTACATCGGGATGGAACTGATGGCCAGGCTACTGTCTACTGGAGTTTGAAGCCCTCTGGCTTTAATTCAAAAGCAGTGACCCCGGATGATATAGGCCCCTTTAATGGCTCTGTTTTGTTTTTATCTGGGCAAAGTGACACAACAATCAACATTACTATCAAAGGTGATGACATACCGGAAATGAATGAAACTGTAACACTTTCTCTAGACAGGTAATAACCCATTTAGGTAATGTTTAGTATCATTTATGTTTGAGTTCTCTTCAATAACTTTGATTTTTTTTTTACTCTTTTTTTTCTATATAAAGTAAAAAAAAAAGTCAAGTAAATAGTGTTATACTGGCCTTCAGACTTTTCTGTTATTTGTTGATGGCTTCTGATTAGACTATGAGTATAATTATATCTTTCAGTGAATTTTTACCCTGCTTTTCATTGTGAAGAAGCACTACAGAGAGAATTTATGGAAGGTATCAGATAAATATGAAACATAGCTAATATGTTGTTATATTAAAAAAAAAATAGGCACCAGCAAATCTAAAATGTTAGGTTAAGCAAACAGTTCTGCTGGCTTTATGTTCAACAGAAGAGAGGACTAGAGCTTGTGAGTAAAAAGAAAACATTAATCTTCATGTAATAAAATTCTCTTTTTTACATGGAACTTAAACATTAATTTTATGATTATTTTCTAAAGAATCAAAAATTGCACAAAATTAAGAGATACTTTTTCAGTAATAAATAATAAGAATCAACAGCATTTCTCAGTGGGTAATTTATATTAAGAAAACTTCACAATCTCTCAAAGAGTTTTTTTTTTCAGTTTTTCAGAAAATCCTTTCTAAATATATAAAATACTGTGTTTAATGATTTAATAATTCTAAAAAATCAGAATCAGTCTTATCCCTAACACAAGTCTCTTTATATGAAAGTTGATTCATATTAGAGAAGGTTACTGTGACTTGAGGGCTTTGTGCAATTCATATTTAGAAACAATAAAATTCAAGATAAATTCAAGGGACATTTTGTGTTACATTATTCAGGACTAAAGTAGTAAGTTATTTTATATAGTCCATGGATCTCTCTATAACAGTGTCTTATAGATTTTTCTTTGTAGATGCTTTGTCTAAACACATTTTTAAAAATCTGATGGGTAACTGATTTTTATTTTTATGTGAAAGAAAAGTATAGAATGTAAGCAACAAATTATTGAATGTCCACTGTTCCTTTTGCTTTCTTTCAAAACCACGTTGTGTTTACTTCCTTTCTTACATAAAGAGTAAAACAAAACAACCAAAATACCAAGCAAACAAAAAAACCAAAAAGCAAAAACCAATTTACAACACACACACACACACACACACACACGCTCGCGCACACACACACACAGAGTCTAGATGACTTATGGTTTTAATATATGTTTCAGACTCGATCTTAAGAAAAGGTATTTCATACGATGAAAAAATCAGTAAAATGTAATGAAATGTAAATTGGAAATTATTTTTTTCATTTTTGTTTTTTTCCTTAAGTAAGGTGTAAGCATTCAGTGGACAATCTTGAAAACAACTAAAGAAACAGAAACAGTGATGATAAACCAATGCTGTGGGAATCTGTAGAAACTTTGTTAGCTTAGCTGACAGTTTCTACTCTCAACTAAATGTTTAAAGAATGATTTACACTATCCATCTGCAAATTGATAGTGACTATTCTTTATATTCTTTCTAACTATTCATTTTTAAATCTTATGTAAACATTTGAAATTAAGTATAATTTTTAAGGGTTTATTTTGTTCTTCTTTTTCTATCCCCTATGGGTAAAAATAGTACATAGTAAAAAAAGTACATAAGGAAGTACAAATCATGAGGTAGAAAATTTCAGAAATTATTGGTTCTTTTCAAATAGAGGAAATTAGTTCAAATATATATTAAAATGTTTTAATTTGACTAGTAATTGGTGCATACTTGTATTATCTCATTTGTGTGTGAACAAGAATGAGCAAATTACATTTGAGTGTTCAGAAACATTTAGTTAAATAAAATTTAGATACTGTATTTTATCAAAAACTCCCTCTTAATTTTGCAAATTTTTAACAAAACTTGAGTGAAAGAATAAATGAATGATAGCAAGCATGATTACAATAAATCACATCACAATATTGCAATGAAAATAGTTAACAGTTTATTGTGATAACAGTTTATAATTTCCTCTCAATGTCAAATCCAAGTTCAAATTCTCTATATTTCAACTCAATATAGACAAAAGTTGCCCTGATACTAAAAAACTTGTGGTGCTTTCAAATAACATGCTGGTTAAAAATATTCTATTTAGTTTTCCTCAAATCACAAACAATGTCATTATGCCAGTTTATTTCAGAAAAATTTTGGTGTATGTGGTATATAACCCTATATTTATAAATGGTGCATTTGACTTTAAAAATGAAGCTCTAGGGCTCTACATTTGACATGTGCTTTCAAGGCTGTTTGAAAATGAAATACACTGTGGATTTGGAAAAGTGTTTTGGTTTCCTGATGCCAAGTTGTATTTAAGTAATTTTTGGCAGAATTAAAAGGTGCAATGATATGGCTTCTTCAGTATGTTCCTGTGCAAATGATATAGGTATAGATTTCTCTAGTTACACAGTTTTGTTTTTTCTAACTCAAAGAACAACTGGCTTTAGATCTGAGACTAAAGGTTTTTATTTTTTTTTAAATCTAATTAAAGCTACTAAGTAATTATAAGCAGGGCTGAATGAAATTTGTTCAGCTGCTGTGGTTTGTGAGCCTGTACAGTGCTTGGCAGGCACAGGCGCCTTGGAGGAGGCCTGGAAAGGAATGTCTTGAATGGGTCTTGACAAGCTTGCTGGCCATGGGGTCATCTTCCATAAGTGGGAACTGCCGAACCTCTTGCTAGCATTTGTCAATAGCAAAGAATCCAGGGTGCAGAGTTCCCATAAAACGCACATTACTAGCTCTTGGGAAAAAAGGAAGCCTTTCTTTAGCTTTATTTTTCCCTTGCCATTCTAAGTTTCTCACAGTATTAGTGAGATTTTAGCAAATGGTGCCCTGCCTCCTTTTTCCCCTTCCCACACTTCTTTCTGTGTTGACAGGGTAGAAACTGAAAGGTTTGTCGTGTATTTTGGGTAAGTGTACAAAATAATACCTTGTTTTTGGTGATTCAGTATTTTGTTTTGCAAGTGATTGTTTTTGGACGAGACTGCTGTTCTGCATGATTACAGGTCTTGGGAAATTTTGCTTGTCCACCTGGCCATGCATGCTTTGTGTGCAGTTTCATTTTCTAATGATAAGGGGAGCTTACACAAAGTTGTTTATTTATTTTTGGTCCTAAGAGTTTTGCACTGTGAATGCATTTAAAGTATTTTGAAATTTGAGAATTAGTGTAATGACATTTAGACGAACTTAAAATTTTTAACTTTCCTTGTAGGTCCACATAACCTCAAGAACAATTACTGTGCTGTACTTCTGAAATTTTTACCCAATGTCTTTTATGAATCTTGTAGCTTGTTTAACAGAGAATTAGCAATCAATTATCTGAACGGTTCCATTGGTTTTCTGAGAGCATCTAAGCAATTTATTGCTTATATCTCAGAGCCGTATACAGAACTTTTCAGAATTTGCATTTCACTTAAGGGTAGCATATTTTAAGAAAGTTTAAAAATAAATTTGTTTAATGTTCAGAATGGATTTTTATATTTTGCATTCTGATCCAGTTTTTTCTTTCCTAGCTTATGTGGATATAAGAAATTTTAATTAATGAGGATATTGATATAAATGATGGACAAATTTGGTATGAAAATTATGACTGTTTTAACAATATAAAATAACTCTCCTATTATTTAGACTATTCTGTGGCCACTAGCATGCTAAGTATTATCAGATTTCTAAAAACTAGGGAAGGATGACAATTCAGATTCTCTGTTAAATAGGAAGTGAGCTTTTTTTCTACATATTTCTACATATGAATTGTGGTTTCATTGTGATTTGAAGTCTGAGCATGAATATATTTTTGGTTCAATAGGACGTGACATTTCGCAAGGTTTAGAGCAGCTTGCAGGATTGATAATTCTTAAGAGCCTGCTGGCTTTTAAACTCTCAGAACATTGCAGTCCAAGTCCCTTTGATCATTCTAATTATGCTTTGAACGTTAAAACCAGAAATTTAAAAAACATGTTGTTTTAATATGTTCTTTTGGAGATACGTAGGAATTGGTATAACATGTCATGCATCTCAGATCTATTCTATTCTTTTTTTTCTTATATTCCCTACATTTTCTTTTATACTAAAAGACAAAAAAGCACAGGTTTAAAATTAAGGAGAATAGAAGGCATTTGAAACCACAACATATTCCTAAAATGTAATCACAATTGTGTTTATTTTTTATCAGCGTGGCTTGCTTTAGTCCATTTAGTTATCCAGCTATTATGTGCTCTATTCAGTTAGTATAATCTTATGTAATGAGTTTTAAAAATAAATTCAAGTGTATGTAAAATTGAAACACAATTTTGTTTTAAGCTATCTTCTAACTACATGTTACAAATTAAATTTTTCTAAAACTGGAATCAAATCTGCAAATTTTGATGCTTTATATAAATAAAATATATTGATAACATTTGGTTACAGTATTCTTGGTGTACATATGTAGTGTTTGGTTTTTGTCAAATAAAAAAAGATGTAATGAATTCAGAAATAGAAGTTCTTTCATAACTGTTATGAGTAAAACTGTTTTGATCTTAAATGATTTCAACACACGTGAATTCACTTAAGGTCTAATTCCTCATAGCCTTCCTTTTCATTATCTGGAAGAGTTGTAAATATTGCCTTAAAAGCCTGCAAAATTCAGAAGTAAAACTGGAAGTAGCGGGTGCCATTTGTCTCTCTGACTTCTCTAGGGTTAACGTGGAAAACCAAGTGCTGAAATCTGGATATACTAGCCGTGACCTAATTATTTTGGAAAATGATGACCCTGGGGGAGTTTTTGAATTTTCTCCTGCTTCCAGAGGACCCTATGTTATAAAAGTAAGTACGAAAAAAACTTCCATTTATTCTGTGCTCACAACTTTAGAAGAATGATCTCAAAGGGTTTCAACTTTTGTGGATTTGTTTTTAAAGGAAGGAGAATCTGTAGAGCTCCACATCATCCGATCAAGGGGGTCCCTTGTTAAGCAGTTTCTACACTACCGAGTAGAGCCAAGAGATAGCAATGAATTCTATGGAAACACGGGAGTACTAGAATTTAAACCTGGAGAAAGGGAGATAGTGATCACCTTGCTAGCAAGATTGGATGGGATACCAGAGGTATGGGATTTTATATTTTCTTTGTGTTTCTCTGTAAGATTGATAGTATTTGGTATATTATGAATATAAATATTTTGAATATTGGCAAAGAGACAGGAAAGAGGTGGGCAAGAAAAGACTGAGAAGTACATAGATTTGGAAAATTTTTAACAAAAGGTTTAAAAATGAAGACTCATTCATATTAGAATGGTGTATTTTTGCTCCACATGAAGAAATAACAAACAATCTTAGACTTTCAGTGTGTGATCAGTTTTCATCTCCTTTTAGCTTTATTCATGTTAAGGCTTCCTTTAGGTAATATGTATTGACTGAACTTTTAATGATGTGGTTTTAAACTGAAGAAATTTTGCTATAGAATTACTTTGTTCAAAAAAAGAAATTTGAGTTTTATATTAATGGAACCAGGTATAGTTCTATTATGCTTACTCACCAATACATATGTAACTCTAATTTTATTTTATTCACTTTTGTAAGTTTAAGTGACTAGATCATCAGAGATAACATCCACTTTTCTTACCATTTTAGAGTAGTATCATTGTTTCTCTTTTTCTCTTTTTGGACAATGTATACGTATTTCTGGTGTCTCTTAATTGATAGGAGAATGTTAATTTTTAAAGAAATGATACCACCTCTTTTGTCCTTTCAGTGAGTTATATGCTTCTGAAACTTTGAGTATATTAATATTCTTGAATATTTATGTTTTTAAATTTGTTGTGAAAAGTCAACTTTATAATTTCCATACTTTGACACATTCACTTTAGTTGGATGAACACTACTGGGTGGTCCTCAGCAGCCACGGAGAACGGGAAAGCAAGTTGGGAAGTGCCACCATTGTCAATATAACGATTCTGAAAAATGATGATCCTCATGGCATTATAGAATTTGTTTCTGATGGTCTAATTGTGATGATAAATGAAAGCAAAGGAGATGCTATCTATAGTGGTAATTTATTCTGTGTCTTATATTGTATTTCTGTTTACTGAAGAAGAAATATAATTTTTTTAGTTATTTCTTTAGTAACTAGTTATTTCTAGTTGCTCACCCTGCCTTAGAAATTACACATAGTGCGGAAGTTTTTTTTAGAATCATATTTAGGACCATGATTTTTATTTCTTACATAGTATCGTGATGATACTGATGACTTCAGTTATATTTTGATACCATTTAAGCATATGCAGTGCAACTCAAACACTCAAGAATGAGTCCATCCAAATAGCGAGAACCTTAAAACTAAGAACTACTGCTACGGAACTGTTGAGGTGACTGGAAATGATAAATAGTTTATTTTTAGAGCAGTGTCTGTCTGGATAAGGAAATCACACTTGAGCATGCAGCTTCCTGTAACTGCTTTTAGCAGATATCCTTACAGGACTTTATGATAGGTGTGCCTAATTCGTCATCATTCTGTTTCCCATGCCAACTGACTTCTAAAATCCCAAACTAGAAAAAAATGAGTCCATTTACTTTATTTATTATATACCTACAGAGGGAGGAACAGGCTAATATATTTTTATATGTACCTTAAAAACTGTGCTAAGCAAATAGTTGGCAGTTATTAAAAAGAGGTGTTGTTTTTATTTTTGTTTATTTAACCGATTTCTTTACTCATCATTTTAAAAGTTTCGTATGTCTTCATATGTATTATGTATGTTTCCATTTCACAGCTGTTTATGATGTAGTAAGAAATCGAGGCAACTTTGGTGATGTTAGTGTATCATGGGTGGTTAGTCCAGACTTTACACAAGATGTATTTCCTGTACAAGGGACTGTTGTCTTTGGAGATCAGGAATTTTCAAAAAATATCACCATTTACTCCCTTCCAGATGAGGTAAATATTGCATATAACTTTCTGCCTTACTTGTTGTAGTTGATCAATAATTATTTTTTATTAAATAATTAAACATCTGGTAATATATTTTGTGATAAAAGTTTGTAATAAAGAACTCAGGTGTGACAGTGTCTGACCATAAACCAGAAGAGCAGTATTATGTTTTGGTTTCCCTGAAGACATGTTGAACTCTAGAACTGAGAGTGGTCAGTGACACTGCTCATGTATCCAGTATCAGGGATTCTTAGTTGGAGAGGCGAAGCCCTCGGCTTGTATTTAGTCCCTTTGAAGGCAAGGTCATCTATCAAGTGTCCTGTGGTGCAGTCTCAGCACCGGGACACGGGGTCGCATGAGTCATGGACCAAACATGGCATTTCTTCTTACAGATAGTAAAGAGAAAGATCTTAATAACAACAGGAAGTGAACCTTTCCTAGGAGAGTGACACTTAGAACAGCTGTGGAGGCCAGTCCCCTCTCCCTCAGACCCATTCCTCAAGAGACAAAATTCGAATACCTTTCTGTTTTAGGGGGAGGGGAGCACCAGTTCACAGGGATGACGTGAAAAAGAAACAGCGTCCACCTGGGGATCCATTTAGGCTCAGAAATGTGGGGAATCAAATCTTGTTAGGACATGGAGTGAGGCCTTTATGACCCATGCAGTTAAAACTTCAGTAAGGTTTGTAAGAAGCCTTTGTGAGCTGGCTGAGCTTTAGTTACTCTAAACTCTGCTCTAAATGTTCAAAAAGTTATTTTTATGTTTCATCTTAAAAATCAACATGTCTCCCATTTTCCTGCAGAAATAATATGACCTCTGTGGTATATCAGTTTTTAGCTTATATAAGGCAAAATATCTATATTTCCATTAAATTTCATAGTTAGTCTAAATGAAGTGGCTGTTTGTATGAATGCACATGAAACTAATTTTTGGGGGGGTCTGAGTCTTACCTGAATGTGTTAGGGGAAGTTCTGCCTCCGAAAAGGAAATGAATAATGGTAGTGTTAATGGTGCTTTTTTAAAAAAACTGAATAATTTAAGAATATATGATGTAATTTATATGTATAAGTCACCTGACTTAAAACGTGTAACATTTTCCAAAGATTCCAGAAGAAATGGAAGAATTTACCGTTATCCTACTGAATGGCACTGGAGGAGCTAAAGTGGGAAATAGAACAACTGCAACTCTGAGGATTAGAAGAAATGATGACCCCATTTATTTTGCAGGTGGTATTGCTGTCTTATTTGAATGAGTTTACATATTTCTTAAATAGTATATATAAATGTATATATGCACGTGCATATATACATTTATATGCACGTGCGTATATACATTTATATACATATATATTTAGCAATTTTTTTCATTGAACATTTTCAATAAAGCACAATTGATGCTTGTTTAAAGATTTTGTAATTCATTCGAGGATTGTTATTTAATTGTTCGAAGTTTTGACTAATACTTCAAAAATTTTTTGAAGCAAAAAGAAAATAAGTACTGTTTTATTATCTTTTTCCCCCTTTCAGATTTCTCGGTATTTTTTTTTCTTTTGTGCAGAAAACACTTCTCCATGTGATTTCTTCAAATAAACAGTCTAGTTGGTTCAGGGCTAGATTATGTATTAGAAGGACCTGAGTATTATGCCTAATGGATGGCCATACACTATAATAACTAATTTTTAAGGGAAATATTAATTAAAATTTCTTCGTTTTGCCACTTTAACGCTTTCTTCAGAACTGTCTTTGGCCACCTGAGGCATCTTTTGGTTTTGTTTATGAAACGGTTGTTGTGTAACTCTTTCTTGAATCCTTGTTGTCAGCTATATATGGGTTAATTTACCTAATGCAGGAATTGCAGGAATCTTGTAAGCCTTTTGTATTTTATTGATTTGTATTCTTTCTTTCTTCTTCTTTTTTTTTTTTTTTTTGAGATGGAATATTGCCCTGTCACCAGGCTGGAGTGCAGCGGCGTGATCTCGGCTCACTGCACCCTCCGCCTTCTGGATTCAAGTGATTCTCCTGCCTCAGCCTCCTGAGTAGCTGGGACTACAGGCACACACCACCACGCCCAGCTAATTTTTGTATTTTTAGTAGAGACGGGTTTTCACTATGTTGGCCAGGATGGTCTTGATCTCTTGACCTTGTGATCTGCCCGCCTTGGCCTCCCAAAGTGCTGGGATTACAGGTGTGAGCCACTGCGCCCAGCCTGATTTGTATTCTTAACCTTCAGTTAATGTGTACTTAATGAATTAGCCTTATGTTCAACCTTCTGGTAACTGCTGTGACAAATATAAAACATAAGATCTCTGGGCCTGTTCTCAAGGAAGTTACATCCTCAACTTAGAAATGAGGTTTATGAAATAGTAAGCAGAGGATTTGAAATAGCATGCAATTTGCTGAGAAATTCGATGTTGAAGATAATGGATTTTTGTAGGATTAAGGCAAGAGGATGGCCATTGACTGTTGAAATAATCAGAGGGTAGTCATGTCAGAGTTGGGAACAGAGCTAATTATTTTGGCAAAGACACAGTACAAGGCTTCTCTCTTGGAGGGCAGGGAGAAGCACAATGTGATCTGAAAATATGTGATGGAATCAGAAAAGCTCATGTGTTCTTTCTTTGTGGATATTTCAGAACCTCGTGTAGTGAGGGTTCAGGAAGGTGAGACTGCCAACTTTACAGTTCTCAGAAATGGATCTGTTGATGTGACTTGCATGGTCCAGTATGCTACCAAGGATGGGAAGGCTACTGCAAGAGAGAGAGATTTCATTCCTGTTGAAAAAGGAGAAACGCTCATTTTTGAGGTTGGAAGTAGACAGCAGAGCATATCCATATTTGTTAATGAAGATGGTATCCCGGAAACAGATGAGCCCTTTTATATAATCCTCTTGAATTCAACAGGTAAGTAAATTATGCTTTTTTATGGCAGATCTGCCTCAGTGCTTTAATAAGATGAAATTAAGCACTGCAGTCCAATAATGAGGACAAGTAGGGCCTAACTACATTTGTACTATTCAAGAGTAAAATTATTTCATTGCTTTCTTGAGAAATGGGGTGAAGAATGTATGTGTTGAACCTTTATGTACTTGTTGAACCTTTATGACATCCTTTTTAACCTTTTCTTTATGATATGGCACAAATAGAAAATTCTGATATATAAGTAAGTGAATTCTTACAGCTAAAAGTAACAGGACTTGGGAATACGGCTTCCCTAGGTATTGCTTAGTCACCCAGCGACTTAAGGGATAGGTATCCTGTAGCATTTTCCTTGGAGCAGGGTGCTGGCACACTTGATTGGGAAGCTTAATTCTGTAGGCAGCTAACTTCAACTGTTTGATAATTCTCTGGAGCCATGGCCAAAATGAATGACAATCTGCAAGTGAAAAAGATGTGTTCGTCCTTCTCCATACTGTAAATGAAACAGGATGTTTTAACCCCACTCTTTGGGATTTGAGAATGTTTTGGCTCTACCTTCTGTAAATTGGAAAGGCCTATGGCTTCTCTTGATAGTTATTTTATTCTTTTAATAGTACAAGGAGTTTTTTTTTCCTTGAACCTTTTGAGAGTAAGGTAAAGACATGATGTCCTATCACCCTAAATACATTAGTGTATTTTCTCCTATAGAGATGCCCCCATGAGCTCTAACGTTTGCATCGGGTCACCATGATGCCCTGTCTGCCACCCCCAGTGGAATGCCAACGTTGTGTTCCACCTTGTGCCTTTTGGACTGAAAGACTGAGGAAGAGAAAGAGATCTCTTAATTATTGTTTTAGCTGTGTCTTTCATTCTCCCTATCTCTTTGACTTTCTTCATTGCTGTCTCTGTTTCTATTCTGCTTCCTCTTTTTCTCCTTTTGTCTTTCTCTGCCTCTCATTTTTCACACAGCTTAACAAAGAAGTTAAAACTAAAAACTATTATCCTGTGAGGAAAATTTGAATTTGTAGAATAAACCCACAAGGGCAATTTCACAATTGCAAAAAACATCGTCAGATCTTACGTAGACTAAAAACATTTGGTGAATCCATTCGTTGTTCTAAAATTTAAATGAAAGGAGTTGCTACAGATAAAAATAATTTTAGTGAAGTAAAAGTGGAAAACAAAGTTTTACTGTGAAATACAGAAAAGCGATGAAGGAATGATATTATTAATATTATTATTTTTTACGGAGTCTCACTCTGTCACCAGGCTGGAGTGCAGTGGTGCAATCTCGGCTCACTGCAACCTCTGCCTCCCAGGTTCAAGTGATTCTCCTGCCTCAGCCTCCCGAGTAGCTGGGACTACAGGTGCACACCACCATGCCCAGCTAATTTTTTTATTTTTAGTAGAGACAGGTTTTCACCATGTTAGCCAGGATGGTCTTGATCTCTTGACCTTGTGATCTACCCGCCTCAGCCTCCCAAAGTGCTGGGATTACAGGCGTGAAAAATGATATTATCTTAATAGAATTTATTTACTCTAGAAATAAGTTCTTGATGACATTTATTAACTTAGTGTGATTCTGGTAAACATTTTTGTCTCAAAAATATCACTGTGGTTAAGCTGTCATTAGGAAAAAAACGCCAATATGGTTAAATAGTGAATGAATCAAAACATCCTGAACCTTTTGTAAAGAGTAGGGGAACTGACATTTTTTTTTCTTTTTTGAGATGAAGTCTCACTCTGTTGCCCAGGCTGGAGTGCAGTGGTGTGATCTCAGCTCACCGCAACCTCTGCCTCCTAGGTTCAAGCAATTCTCCTGCCTCAGCCTCCTGAGTAGTTGGGACTACAGGCTGGCAACACCACACCCAGCTAATGTTTGTATTTTTAGTAGAGACGGGGTTTCATCGTGTTGGCCAGGCTGGTCTAGAACTCCTGACCTCAAGCAATTCGCCCGCCTGGGCCCCCCAGGGTGCTGGGATTACAGGCGTGAGCCACCGTGCCTAGCCAGAAATTGACGCTTGAAAAAGAGGTTTAGTTAGTTTGTGAAATATGTCATTGGGAAAATATATTTATTAATATTTGATTTTGAGAGAGAGAGAGAGAGAGGGAGAACACAAGATGTGATTGGGTTACTGGCCTGAGGTATGTGTGCTACCTCGTACTGCTGCTGCATTTGTCTTTAATATTTTTCCAGAAATGATGACATTTGAGAATCCAATTACTTTCGTTAAGAAGGCTCAGATGACAAAAATCTCTAGAGCTTGTGATTTTTTAATACATCCTTTCTTAGCTCTTTCCTCCTTTTCGATGTCAAAACATCAAGGACTTGTGGGACCCATGATGGGACACTGTAGAGGCAGCATCTCTGACATGACCTAGTGCTGGCAGTGGCTGTTTATCCTGATGCTAATCATTTAGAGCATATGCTCTGATATTGGATCAAAGGATATGGCCATCCTTCAAGCCCTTGTTAAATATTGCTAGTTCATCTTGCAGAGAAACAGAATGAATTTTCAGCACCACTGGGACATGTTTCATTACAAATGCATATGATAATAGAACCCTGCCAAAATTAGGTTTTATTATTATTTATTTTTGTTAGATTTTATTATATGCTCTTTATTTATTGTCAGCGTTTTCTACACAATGATTTGCTATTTTTGTGTCTTTTTTCCATTGAATTATCAAGTGAAGTTGAGTACAGTTGTATATTTGTATAATTTTTATTGATAAGCTGGTTTGCTATATATAAAATTTGTTTCTATAATTTTAGCTGTAGGTGTTGTATACATCTGTTTTTGAAAGTGTTAGTTGCATCAGTTCAGCAATAAATAAATTCTGCGCACCGGTTACTGAGCATCTATTTTTCTAGGGCATGGAATTGAATAAGAATCATTAGTCCAATGAGCTTATAGTAAAATTATGTGTATGTCTGTATGTGTATGTGTGTGTGTGTGTGTCCCAATATAATATGATCATTGTTATGATAGATTGACAAAGAGCAAAGTGCCGTGGGAGCACACTGGAGAGGCACTTAGCTTAACCTGGGGATTCAAGGAAGAATTCCTGGAAGAGTTGTTGCTTGAGCTGGGTTCTCAGGAATGATAAGTTAGGTGAGTGAAGATGGGAAGGACTTTTGCTCCCCTGTGCAACAGCTGGAGTAAAGATGAAGAGATAGGCACTTCAGGGAAGTGATGAGAAGAGACCCAATGTGTAGGCAATAACAGTGCCAATATACTGTGCAAAGAACTGGAGTAGAAAGGAATCAAGCCCAAACCATGGAGACTACTTTGTTCTATGTACAACCAGATCAAACTTTGCTGCCTGAAGGCAGAGATGTAAAGGGAAACACTCAAGCCAGTGATTCCAATGAACACAGACAGTAGTATTTTTATGTTATTGGGTAGTCCTTTATTATTTGTATGAAATAAAAGAATCCACCTAAGAAATTTGAAAATAGAAGAAATTATGTTTTTAATTTCTAATTAAGCTATTGAAGGTATATTCCTTTTGTGAAGAAAAGTGTGTTTTTCAATAAAATAGTTCATTTGTAACTAAAAAAAATGGGAACTATTTCATCTTGAAATTATGTAGGCATCTCTCTTTCTCTCTCTCTTTGTATGTATGTTTGTACTTATGTGTGTATACATAAACATCTTTGGAAATATGGAGCAGTATTTTGCATTTATTATATGACCTTCAGTGAGGAAATTCTTGCTGAAATTTTCAACTTAATTGTAAACTTTCTTAATTTAAAAGTATAAATTTTACAGCAAGTTAGCTACTTCTTTGTTATTTTGTCTTTTCCACTTTTAATTTAGGTGATACAGTAGTATATCAATATGGAGTAGCTACAGTAATAATTGAAGCTAATGATGACCCAAATGGCATTTTTTCTCTGGAGCCCATAGACAAAGCAGTGGAAGAAGGAAAGACTAATGCATTTTGGTAAGCATATGTAGATAAGGCAAGTTTAAAATTGGGTGAAATAAAACCATTAAGTATGTGAAATTCTGAAATATTCCTTCAAAATTTAAAAATTGGTTAAGAATTGAGTAATTTCAAAGTTGGCAGTCTGAATGAGTGGTAAACTTTGTTTATGCTGTTGCCACTTATCTTCAAAAAAAAAAATCTTTTAGCTAGTAAGCAGAAATTATTCTCCCCACCCCCCTCGTTCAAACTTCAATCCTTTGTGAGACTGAGAAACTTGAATTATTCAAGATCTTCAGGAACTCTTCTCTCAGATGATATGTGACTACCCCCACCCTGTACTTTGCTTTTGGAAAACTTTTTCCAACTGTCATTTAGTATTTTTTGATGGAGCTTAGAATTTATCTTTCAGTTTGGATTTTGAAGACAAGACTTTTATGACTGTTTCTCTTTTATTAAAGTTCTACCTTATTCTTCTCTTCCCATGAAATTCTTCATAGTTTGCCTCGTAGAACCAGCTGGTTTGTTTCTTTTAAGACAATAGATAGTAAAAATATGTTTCCTTAATAACACAGGAAGCTCTCATTAGAGTAAGATTCACTACTTATAAATTTTCTTTAATTTATTTTGTAGGATTTTGAGGCACCGAGGATACTTTGGTAGTGTTTCTGTATCTTGGCAGCTCTTTCAGAATGATTCTGCTTTGCAGCCTGGGCAGGAGTTCTATGAAACTTCAGGAACTGTTAACTTCATGGATGGAGAAGAAGCAAAACCAATCATTCTCCATGCTTTTCCAGATAAAATTCCTGAATTCAATGAATTTTATTTCCTAAAACTTGTAAACATTTCAGGTACTGTGTTTTTCCATGTCTTATTTTATTTCCATGTCTTATTTATACTAAATTTTACATTTTATACTTAGATAATTAGAGCCATATACAAAATGCAATTGGTGAAGTATTTGTGTCATGACTATCTGATTTTAAATGTTAAAATACCCTTCTTGTTTCAAGTGTTATTCTTAACATTCACTTTTTTGATATCTTAGTTTGGTTCAGTTTTAGGGATGGAGGCCTACATCCATCCTCAAACATGCAAATAGACTTTCTCCACACCAACTATAGTGTCTCCAACAAGACGTTAGTGGAAGGTAGGAGGTAAGGATTCATGGTAGCTTAAAGCTTGATCTTTGTGTCATAATTTAAGCAATCAATTTTCGCATCACTTTTGGTTTTAAAAAGCACAGAATTAAACCTTTCTAATTCATATACTCTTTTCAGGCTTGACTGATTATCAATAAAATTATGCTGAACAAATATTATTTCATATCCTGCCCCTAAAATGTGGTGAAAGCCACATGGTGACACTACTTTTCATTGATAATGAGTAAATTATTTAACCAGAAGTTTGTCTGCTAAACAAATTCTTTTTTCTTCACATTATACTAGAAAGTACTTGAAATTCTAGTTTCTCACTCATAAATTTTCTTGTTACAGGTGGATCCCCAGGTCCTGGGGGCCAGCTAGCAGAAACCAACCTCCAGGTGACAGTAATGGTTCCATTCAATGATGATCCCTTTGGAGTTTTTATCTTGGATCCAGAGTGTTTAGAGAGAGAAGTGGCAGAAGATGTCCTGTCTGAAGATGATATGTCTTATATTACCAACTTCACCATTTTGAGGCAGCAGGGTGTGTTTGGTGATGTACAACTGGGCTGGGAAATACTGTCCAGTGAGTTCCCTGCTGGTTTGCCACCAATGATAGATTTTTTACTGGTTGGAATTTTCCCCACCACCGTGCATTTACAACAGCACATGCGGCGTCACCACAGTGGAACGGATGCTTTGTACTTTACCGGACTAGAGGGTGCATTTGGGACTGTTAATCCAAAATACCATCCCTCCAGGAATAATACAATTGCCAACTTTACATTCTCAGCTTGGGTAATGCCCAATGCCAATACGAATGGATTCATTATAGCGAAGGATGACGGTAATGGAAGCATCTACTACGGGGTAAAAATACAAACAAACGAATCCCATGTGACACTTTCCCTTCATTATAAAACCTTGGGTTCCAATGCTACATACATTGCCAAGACAACAGTCATGAAATATTTAGAAGAAAGTGTTTGGCTTCATCTACTAATTATCCTGGAGGATGGTATAATCGAATTCTACCTGGATGGAAATGCAATGCCCAGGGGAATCAAGAGTCTGAAAGGAGAAGCCATTACTGACGGTGAGGGTCATCATCACAACTAGGACACTGAAATTTGCAGTTTCTAAAATTTTTCATTAAAATTTAGATTTTTAAAAAAGTGCTAACATGTATTTGAAAACTCTACTTATGCATTGGTTTAATTTCTTTAATCAAAACTATGTGCCTACCAAGATAATGAGAAATTCTGTCCTGAGTGTTACAGAAATGAATCAGAGAATTTTGCCCTTAAAGAACCTGGAATAAACCCTAGCAGAGAGATGTGTGATATATCACAATGACACCCTGTAGGAAGACAGAAAAAAATATGAAAGAGGAATGTTTGTCCTTCTGTGGGTAGTAGGAGAGATGGGGAGTGATATTCCTGCAGAGGAATGAACAAAGGAATAGAAATGTGAAACAGCGTGTTGCACCTGGGGAACTGCTGCTAGTTCAGTATTGCTGAAGGTAGAGGGTGGTGGGCGTGAGGTTGAAAAGAAAGCAGGAGAGAAGAATCACAGTGAAAAGTGATTATAGGGTTCATACTATCAGCAGGTAACTTGGTGAATTCTACAGAGTGCTTTGAAGAGATATTCTTTGTTGTCTTTAAACTAGATCATATGCTGATTCCTCAAGAAGCACATTTGTGTGTGTGTGCACACAAATACTGGTTATATGCATTATAGTCACCATTCCCTCTCAGCCCCTCCATCTTATGATTTTATTCTTTTTTATATTTCGTGAAAGATAGAGTAGAGCTTATATGGCTATAGCTTAATAGAGTATTTTCCTCTGAACCTCTTACATTAGTTATTTGGTTCTATTTTTTTTCCCAGAGGGGGAAAAAAAGATAGGCAAAGGAAAATGCACGTATCTACCAATTTCAATCCCATGGATTTTGGTTACAAGCACTTTGTGGTATTATCCACTTTTTGGCTGTGTGAATACCTACAAGTATCTGTTAGCCTTGATTCTTTTGGTGATGGTAGTGGTGGTGGAATGAGAATGGAAACGATTGGGGGAAGTGGGAGCTGGTGTTTTTTCCTCTGACTTACTGCAGAGGAACTTGTTATTTTTGTACTTTGTAATTTGGAAAGATAATTTTTAAACTATATGTAAAGTTATTGAACTGTAGTGCCCTTTATATTATAAAAATATAAAAGTATGCATATTGTAAGTGTACAGATAAGTGAAATTTTTAAAACTTAAATTCATCAGTTTCAGCACTCATGTGATCAGCCCCCAGACCAAGAAACAGCATTCCAGAAGCCCCCTTTGACTCCTCCAGTTGCTAACTCACCACCCTGCCTACTGACTATTGGCATTTTTAAGAGCTTAAGATTCACTTTTCCTATTTTTAAATTTATATAAATAGAACTGAACAGTATGTACACTTGAGTGTCCAGCTTCTTTTGCTCAGTATTGTTTGTGAAGTTCATCCATATTTTTGCCTGCTGTAGATATTTCATGCTCATTACCATATAGAATTATCTTATGTAACTGTAACACAATTTATTTATTAGTGCTACTTTCAATTTCTGTTTTGGTTGTTTTCTGTTCTGCCTACTACATATAGTACTTCTATGGATACTCTTATACATGTTTTTTGATGAACATATGCCTGCCATATGCATTTCTGTTGAGCACATTCCTGGGGATGGAATTGCTGAATGACAGTGTGTGCAAATATTCGGTTTTAGTAGATAATGCCTATCCTTTTTCCAAAACAGTTGAACCTAATTATACTCTCACCTCTAGTGTATGAGAGTTCCACTTAATTAATGCTTAGCTTCTTCCATCTTTACTTTTGGTTTGTAGTGGCATCTCACAGTATCATAAAAGGTGTATTTAAAAAAAAATAATGCTGTGTTCAATATAGAAAAATTGTAAAGTACACATATACAACAAAAATAGAAATCATTTACAATAAAAATCATTTACAATCATTATAAGAATCATTTACAGTCATTCAGAGATAGCCACTATAAACATTAAGCATACTGTTAACATGTTCGTATACACACACTGTATACATATTTCACAATTTTTCTTCTTTATTGTCAAAATGATACATGTATATTGCATGAAATTTGAAAAGTATAGAATAGTATTAAGATGCAGAGTGAAAGATGCCATATTCCCTCCATGAACCACTGTAACATATTGGCATTTTTATAACTTTTATTTTGAATGATTTAGCATTGTAACTTAAGTAGTTAACACTACAAGTAGAGAAATAATGATCAGGTTTGTCCCAGAGAATTAGTCATAGAAGCAAAGTGCTTAGAATCCTCAAATATGTATAATGTTTTACATTTATAAGGCATTTTCCATACATTACCTAATTTGTACTTCATAATAATTCAATATATTAAATAGAGGTCAGAGTCAGTAAATAAATTCGCTAGCATCACACAGGCAAGTAACAGAGGAACCAAGACATGAAAATAAACCATTAACTCCTAGGTCAGTATTCCTTTTAACATACCATAGAGACAGAACTAAAGGAGATGTGATCATTTCTATATCCTTGACTCCAGATAGCATCCTAACAGTGAGAACCATGATGTGGTTTTGTGAGAATCAGGGGAACTTATATCATTACAGTTGCCAGATAATTCAATAGGAGAGACAACATAGGATTTCCCATTGAATCTGGAGCTCCAGTGAAAAGGTGTTTCTGGTTTGCTGGGCAGGAAGGTGGTCTCTGTAGTCGGTATGGGAGCTGTCATGACAGTAACATGCCAGATACTTGTGACTACCCTGAAAGACATCTGGGTGGAGATTTGTGAAACAGCCTCCACTGAGGTTATTGACAAGAAATATTGCTTGTACTTTTTTTTCCAGAATCTCTGCCAATATCTCATCTTGCCTAAAGATCTTACATAAATATCTTAGTTGAGTTATTAGAGTACGAACAGGTAAAGAAAGGAGAACTAGTGAAAGCATGAAAAGGTTTGTTATTGAGATATAGTGACACAGTTGGGCTACATGTTATTATTATTTTTAAAAGTCCCCAAGACTTACATATAATGTTTCTGAGAAGAAATATTTCTATTTTTACATCTATTCTCTTAGTTGTTTGGATAGAGAGATATATTTGGCCTGTAGAAATACTTCTTATGAATTCTCACAACTTTAACTCAATGAGTGTCTAACATATCAAGCCTTGAAGTTCTTAAATAATAATATAGTACTGAAGTTTAAAAATTGTGATGAGGCTAGGTGCAGTGGCCCATGCCTGTAATTGCGCCTCAAGCGATCCTCCCATCTAAGCACTTTGGGAGGATCGCTTGAGGCCAGGAGTTTGAGACCAGCCTGGGCAACATAGCAAGACCCTGTCTCTACAAAAAAAACAAAACAACAACAACAAAAAAAGCCAGGCCTGGCAGTGGACTCCTGTAGTGATGTCCTTGCTATTTGTTAGTCTGAGGTGGTTGGATTGCTCGAACCCAGGAGTTTGAGGTCACAGTGAGCTATTAACATGCCATTGCACTCTAGCCTGGGTAAAAGAGCAAGATCTTGTCTCTAAAGTACATAAATAAATAAATACATAATTAAAAATTGTGATGAATAAGTCCATTTTTAAATGTGCAAGAGTAAATTTTAAAATACCATAGAATAAATTTCTATCCAAATACGTGCACATACATACATGCATACGTGTGTATGTATGTGTGTGTATGTGTATGTTCAGATACTTTTTTTTCTAGAAATGTTGACAGACTGATAGAAGTTACTTTTAAGTATATCATCTAATTTGAAGATAGTTACCAATTCTTTTAGTACAAAATATAAATCCTAATGATTATGGATTCCTTTTTTAAAATCATAATAGAAGATAATATCCAATTCATTGTATACTAGTTATGCAAAAGTTTCATTTATCCAAAAATATCTTTCAGTAAAATTGTCTTACTTTCTGAATCACACGTAAAATTTAGGACAGGACACTTGAAGGTATTGTAGCATTTAAACTTGTCTCTAATTTCAGGTCCTGGGATACTGAGAATTGGAGCAGGGATAAATGGCAATGACAGATTTACAGGTCTGATGCAGGATGTGAGGTCCTATGAGCGGAAACTGACGCTTGAAGAAATTTATGAACTTCATGCCATGCCCGCAAAAAGTGATTTACACCCAATTTCTGGATATCTGGAGTTCAGACAGGGAGAAACTAACAAATCATTCATTATTTCTGCAAGAGATGACAATGACGAGGAAGGAGAAGAATTATTCATTCTTAAACTAGTTTCTGTATATGGAGGAGCTCGTATTTCGGAAGAAAATACTACTGCAAGATTAACAATACAAAAAAGTGACAATGCAAATGGCTTGTTTGGTTTCACAGGAGCTTGTATACCAGAGGTAAGTAGTGAGCTTGGAGAATTTTGGATTTAAAAATTCATTGTAGGTGGATTTGTTTGGGACTCGGCTTTCTTTCATTTGGTAAGATTGGTTGCGCATCTACTCCAAGTCCAGAAGTATGCTAGGGCCAGTGATTGCAAATATAAATTACAAAATTCTTACTCTTATGAGTTCACCCTTTGGATCAACTTAATGAGCTGATAGAAGTAATAACAAGTTAGCAAATGAAACTTTAGCAATTCGCCTGAAAGTTAATGCTCTTCAAAGAACGTATGTGTATACTCTACCTATTTATTTTTGGCTACTGTTTTGGATGTCATTAAATTGAATGAAATAATATATATTGAAGGCTTGTATGAATAATTGTATTTGCAACTTTATTAAAATATGATTTTTTGATTTTTTTTTTTTTACATGTGAAACGTACTTGAGTAGTTAGTTATCACTTTCTTCCATGTTGGGTGTAAATACCTTTCTTATCAACCTTCTTGGCCAGCTTAATTCATTAGGCTGTCTTACTGTCCTTATCAGTTCTTTCCATGTTTTCAAAGATTCGTAATCATCTTGGTTTCCTGTTCAGTAATGTGAGAACTCATGAAACTACTTCCCAGGTGTTCTGTGTGACAGCAACAGCTTGGTGACCATGAAAGGATGCCAAGGAACAAGAGTCTTTCTTTTTGCAAGTTGATTCTAATTGGTTTAGAAGGATGTATAAGTAAATTGAAATGATTTTTTAAAAATGGATGAGTAGAGTTTGAAAAAAAATCTAGGTCATAGGCTCATTCTAGCTTAAACTGGGATGTCTGCCTCTCTGGAGTGTCTTTCTTGCCACTTTAGCCCTTTGGTTTGGTGGCAGTCTTAAGAGATCTTCAAATAGTATGGTCCTTTTTTTACATCAGAAATAGCATATCCTAGACTAGCAATAACAAATGTCATACAAATCTACAACTTGAAAAGAAAGATGTTTACATATAGTGGATAATACCTTTAAATAGGTATTCAGCTATCAAAGAACTTCTACATATTACATTTTATGCACCTTTCTGATAATCCATAATATAGGTGCGTTATTAACCAGTGTGATAGTGATATTAACCAGTGTGATAGTGACATTAACCAGTGTGATTATTTTGTATAATATGTGTCAACATTTTGAAGATCTGTATAACTCAGTAACTAGTATTTTTCAAGTAATCAATGCATATTGTTGCAAATCATGCCTGGGTAAAAGACTGTTCCAAAGTACAAGGTAGACCAGTAGATTTTAAAGTACTAGAGTATGTTTCCAGGTTGCAGCTAAATGCTAAGAAACTGCCACTTGTCAAATTTTGGATTTTGGTATAATGTCAAGGAAAAATACCCATAATTATCTGAAAAGACTAGTAAAATCCTCTTCCTTTTTCTGTTACACACATGTATATATAAGGCTGGATTTTCTTTATACACTTTAACCAAAGTAAAAGATAGAAACAGGCCGGGCGCGGTGGCTCACGCCTGTAATCCCAGCACTTCGGGATGCTGAGGCGGGCGGATCATGAGGTCAGAAGATCGAGACCATCCTGGCTAACATGGTGAAACCCCGTCTCTACTAAAAATACAAAAAATTAGCCGGGTGTGGTGGTGGGCACCTGTAGTGCCAGCTACTCGTGAAGCTGAGGCAGGAGAATGGTGTGAACCCAGGAGGCAGAGCTTGCAGTGAGCCGAGATGGTGCCACTGCACTCCAGCGTGGGTGACACAAGACTCTGTCTCAGAGAAAAAAAAAAAGAAAAAGAAAAAGAAACAGACAAATTGATTGCAAGAGGAGCTAGGAGAATCCAGCTGTCTTCTATTAAGCCAGACATTAAGGAGACTTTTAAAAATATAAAATAATACCCCCTTATCACTAATTTTTTTTCGAGAACTGTAGTTATTTCTCATAAAATATGTTGTTTATGTTAGCATGTAATGGGTTTATTATTGCTGTCTTAAAATGAGTTATCAATATTTAAATTTTTAATTTTTCATTTGAATATGGAAAATATCAGCAGATTTTAATGATATCAACAAAAACTCTCTGGGGTTCTCAATAGTTTTGATGTGTACAGGGGTCCTGAAACTAAAACATTTGAGAACTGCTGGTTTAGTCTGTGCTTGTAATTATCTTCTGAGTTCAAATTTTATGATCACTTGCTTCATTTTTAGAAATAAAGACTACAGCCACTTCCATAGATTCTTCTCCATTATGTTGTTGCAATGACATTGACAATTTAACGTTAAAAAAAATTCCCTCAAAATTTCTGAATGCAATAGAGACCCTATAAAGACTCTGGGCTGGGCACAGTGGCTCACGCCTGTAATTCCAGCACTTTGGGAAGCTGAGGTGGGAGGATCTCTTGAGCCTAGGAGTTTGAGAACAGCCTAGGCAACATAGTGAGACCCCCTTGTCTATTTTAAATTGAAATAAAAATTAAAAAAATTTAAAATAGGCCTTCTGAGTTATGTTATGCTTTTACCTTTTTCATAGATTAATATGACATAAAGTAATATTAAGGTTAAAATGATAGCATAATGACATCTTAAACAGATAATGAAAATATGTAGACTCTGACATAGCCTGCTATTTGGCACATTGAAAGAGAAGGTAATTATTCTGTGATTTGTTTTCTACCAACCAGGTACACTATGTCCCGGCAAAGAGCAGGTGCTTAATAAACTATAATTGAAAGAATGAATAAAACCTGTGAAGCAGTTTAGGGTCCTGGTGAGGCATGCCAAATAGTGCTTTGGATTCCAAGTGGGATCTGTATTGAACAGAAGATGGATTTTGTTAGATCTATAGCCTAGTAACCACATTCTCATGTTTCTTCCCCATATTTTGTTGTTCTGTGTATTTCCTATGTTATTTTCTCTGTACCATATTTTAGCACTGTTTTTACGTGTCCTGCCAAATTGTATACCACGTAATTATAAATTAATGAAGTTGCTTTCATAGTGATTCATAGAACTTGCTAATCGTATTGTTTTATTTTTTATAACTAATACTTGCATTATATGTTATATTTATAAACTATGGCTTAAGAATCAATTAAAGACACTTTGGGAAGATCTTCATGAAAACAAGAATATCATTTCAACTTGGACTATATTTGTTTTTAAGTGCCTACCATGTGCTATGTGAATAGATTCCTTGGGATATAAGTGATATTGGTATAATCCGATATCACCAATCATCACCCATGCATGAAACAAAATTAAAAATTAATTGGATTTGTAGCTTTAATTTTCTATTGCAATAGAGAAGGCCAATTCATGGTTCAGAATACTGCATTATTTTTTCTAAGAAAATAGGTTTCAAAAACTCGTCTTACTATTTCTGTTTATTATTACTGTTCTGATGATCTGAATATTTGGCAAATTCCTGACTTAAAAGAGGAGACGGTAGTGAGTATTATTGTGTCTAGTGAGAAACTGTTTGGGGATGGTTTGATGATTATTATGGATGTTAGGCCCCTTCATATACTGGCCTAAATGTTTGTTTGTATCATAATTCTAAACTCAATTAGATGAATATTTTAATATTAGAAAAAAGGTTTAGATATTTATTTTCTATGTCTTATGCATTTCTGTATTAATAATTACATACCGGAGTCTAGTATTTCTGAAAGTGTTGCCCTTGGATGACCTTGTCAGAAATATCTAATGCTTATTACTGGACATTATTCCTGACTCAGGACCCCATTCCTGGATCACAATCTCTGGCTAGGGGAGAGGGGAAGTTTAAGCTGAATTAGAAAACCTTTTTAAATGAAAGTTTTCATATATAGAGTATACACAAAAATAGAGAAGATAAAGGAATGAGTCACAGTGTACTAGCTTCAATAATTATCAGCCTTTTGGCAATATTGTTTAATCATTTTTGGTTAAACAACTTTTTTTTTTTTTTTTTTTTGAGACGGAGTCACGCTCTGTCGCCCACCCAGGCTGGAGTGCAGTGATGCGATCATGGCTCACTGCAAGCTCCACCTCCCGGGTTCACGCCATTCTCCTGCCTCAGCCTCCCGAGTAGCTGGGACTACAGGCGCCCACCACCATGCCCGGCTAATTTTTTGTATTTTTAGCAGAGACGGGGTTTCACTGTGTTAGCCAGGATGGTCTCGATCTCCTGACCTCGTGATCCACCTACCTCAGCCTCCCAAAGTGCTGGGATTACAGGTGTAAGCCACCGTGCCCAGCCAGTTAAAGTACTTTTTAAAGCAAACCTCAGGCGTTATGTTATTTCTCTGTAAATTCAGAAGTATTAAAGGTGGATTTGCACTGAGAATCCTGGTAGTTTTTTTTTTCTTTTTTTCTTTTTTTTCTTTTATTATTATACTTTAAGTTTTAGGGTACATGAGCACATTGTGCAGGTTAGTTACATATGTATACGTGTGCCATGCTGGTGCTCTGCACCCACTAACTCGTCATCTAGCATTAGGTATATCTCCCAATGCTATCCCTTCCCCCTCCCCCCACCACACAACAGTCCCCAGAGTGTGATGTTCCCCTTCCTGTGTCCATATGATCTCATTGTTCAGTTCCCACCTATGAGTGAGAATATGTGGTGTTTGGTTTTTTGTTCTTGCGATACTTTACTGAGAATGATGATTTCCAGTTTCATCCATGTCCCTACAAAGGACATGAACTCATCATTTTTTATGGCTGCATAGTATTCCATGGTGTATATGTGCCACATTTTCTTAATCCAGTCTATCATTGTTGGACATTTGGGTTGGTTCCAAGTCTTTGCTATTGTGAATAATGCCGCAATAAACATACGTGTGCATGTGTCTTTATAGCTGCATGATTTACAGTCCTTTGGGTATATACCCAGTAATGGGATGGCTGGGTCAAATGGTATTTCTAGTTCTAGATCCCTGAGGAATCATCACACTGACTTCCACAATGGTTGAACTAGTTTACAGTCCCACCAACAGTGTAAAAGTGTTCCTGTTTCTCCACATCCTCTCCAGCACCTGTTGTTTCCTGACTTTTTAATGATTGCCATTCTAACTGGTGTGAGATGGTATCTTATTGTGGTTTTGATTTGCATTTCTCTGATGGCCAGTGATGATGAGCATTTTTTCATGTGTTTTTTGGCTGCATAAATGTCTTCTTTTGAGAAGTGTCTGTTCATGTCCTTCGCCCACTTTTTGATGGGGTTGTTTGTTTTTTTCTTGTAAATTTGTTTGAGTTCATTGTAGATTCTGGATATTAGCCCTTTGTCAGATGAGTAGGTTGCGAAAATTGTCTCCCATTTTGTAGGTTGCCTGTTCACTCTGATGGTAGTTTCTTTTGCTGTGCAGAAGCTCTTGAGTTTAATTAGGTCCCATTTGTCAATTTTGTCTTTTGTTGCCATTGCTTTTGGTGTTTTAGACATGAAGTCCTTGCCCATGCCTGTGTCCTGAATGGTAATGCCTAGGTTTTCTTCAAGGGTTTTTATGGTTTTAGGTCTAATGTTTAAGTCTTTAATCCATCTTGAATTGATTTTTGTATAAGGTGTAAGGAAGGGATCCAGTTTCAGCTTTCTACATATGGCTAGCCAATTTTCCCAGCACCATTTATTAAATAGGGAATCCTTTCCCCATTGCTTGTTTTTCTCAAGTTTGTCAAAGATCAGATAGTTGTAGATATGCGGCGTTATTTCTGAGGGCTCTGTTCTGTTCCATTGATCTATATCTCTGTTTTGGTACCAGTACCATGCTGTTTTGGTTACTGTAGCCTTGTAGTATAGTTTGAAGTCAGGTAGTGTGATGCCTCCAGCTTTGTTGTTTTGGCTTAGGATTGCCTTGGCGATGCGGGCTCTTTTTTGGTTCCATATGAACTTTAAAGCAGTTTTTTCCAATTCTGTGAAGAAAGTCATTGGTAGCTTGATGGGGATGGCATTGAATCTGTAAATTACCTTGGGCAGTATGGCCATTTTCACGATATTGATTCTTCCTACCCATGAGCATGGAATGTTCTTCCATTTGTTTGTATCCTCTTTTATTTCCTTGAGCAGTGGTTTGTAGTTCTCCTTGAAGAGGTCCTTCACATCCTTTGTAAGTTGGATTCCTAGGTATTTTATTCTCTTTGAAGCAATTGTGAATGGGAGTTCACTCATGATTTGGCTCTCTGTTTGCCTGTTGTTGGTGTATAAGAATGCTTGAGATTTTTGTACATTGATTTTGTATCCTGAGACTTTGCTGAAGTTGCTTATCAGCTTAAGGAGATTTTGGGCTGAGACAGTGGGGTTTTCTAGATATACAATCATGTCATCTGCAAACAGGGACAATTTGACTTCCTCTTTTCCTAATTGAATACCGTTTATTTCCTTCTCCTGCCTAATTGCCCTGGCCAGAACTTCCAACACTATGTTGAATAGGAGTGGTGAGAGAGGGCATCCCTGTCTTGTGCCAGTTTTCAAAGGGAATGCTTCCAGTTTTTGCCCATTCAGTATGATATTGGCTGTGGGTTTGTCATAGATAGCTCTTATTATTTTGAAATACGTCCCATCAATACCTAATTTATTGAGAGTTTTTAGCATGAAGGGTTGTTGAATGTTGTCAAAGGCCTTTTCTGTATCTATTGAGATAATCATGTGGTTTTTGTCTTTGGCTCTGTTTATATGCTGGATTACATTTATTAATTTGCGTATATTGAACCAGCTTGCATCCCAGGGATGAAGCCCACTTGATCATGGTAGATAAGCTTTTTGATGTGCTGCTGGATTCGGTTTGCCAGTATTTTATTGAGGATTTTTGCATCAGTGTTCATCAAGGATATTGGTCTAAAATTCTCTTTTTTGGTTGTGTCTCTGCCTGGCTTTGGTATCAGAATGATGCTGGCCTCATAAAATGAGTTAGGGAGGATTCCCTCTTTTTCTATTGATTGGAATAGTTTCAGAAGGAATGGTACCAGTTCCTCCTTGTACCTCTGGTAGAATTCGGCTGTGAATCCGTTTGGTCCTGGACTCTTTTTGGTTGGTAAACTATTGATTATTGCCACAATTTCAGAACCTGTTATTGGTCTATTCAGAGATTCAACTTCTTCCTGGTTTAGTCTTGGGAGAGTGTATGTGTTGAGGAATTTATCCATTTCTTCTAGATTTTCTAGTTTATTTGCGTAGAGGTGTTTGTAGTATTCTCTGATGGTAGTTTGTATTTCTGTGGGATCAGTGGTGATATTCCCTTTATCATTTTTTATTCCGTCTATTTGATTCTTCTCTCTTTTTTTCTTTATTAGTCTTGCTAGCGGTCTATTTATTTTGTCGATCCTTTCAAAAAACCAGCTCCTGGATTCATTAATTTTTTGAAGGGTTTTTTGTGTCTCTATTTCCTTCAGTTCTGCTCTGATTTTAGTTATTTCTTGCCTTCTGCTTGCTTTTGAATGTGTTTGCTCTTGCTTTTCTAGTCCTTTTAATTGTGATGTTAGGGTGTCAATTTTGGATCTTTCCTGCTTTCTCTTGTGGGCATTTAGTGCTATAAATTTCCCTCTACACACTGCTTTGAATGCGTCCCAGAGATTCTGGTATGTTGTGTCTTCGTTCTTGTTGGTTTCAAAGAACATCTTTATTTCTGCCTTCATTTCGTTATGTATCCAGTAGTCATTCAGGAGCAGGTTGTTCAGTTTCCATGTAGTTGAGCGGTTTTGAGTGAGATTCTTAATCCTGAGTTCTAGTTTGATTGCACTGTGGTCTGAGAGATAGTTTGTTATAATCTCTGTTCTTTTACATTTGCTGAGGAGAGCTTTACTTCCAAGTACGTGGTCAATTTTGGAATAGGTGTGGTGTGGTGCTGAAAAAAATGTATATTCTGTTGATTTGGGGTGGAGAGTTCTGTAGATGTCTATTAGGTCCGCTTGGTGCAGAGCTGAGTTCAATTCCTGGGTATCCTTGTTGACTTTCTGTCTCGTTGATCTGTCTAATGTTGACAGTGGGGTGTTAAAGTCTCCCATTATTAATGTGTGGGAGTCTAAGTCTCTTTGTAGGTCATTCAGGACTTGCTTTTTGAATGTGGGTGCTCCTTTGTTGGGTGCATATATATTTAGGCTAGTTAGCTCTTCTTGTTGAATTGATCCCTTTACCATTATGTAATGGCCTTCTTTGTCTCTTTTGATCTTTGTTGGTTTAAAGTGTGTTTTATCAGAGAGTAGGATTGCAACACCTGCCTTTTTTTGTTTTCCATTTGCTTGGTAGATTTTCCTCAATCTTTTTATTTTGAGCCTATGTGTGTCTCTGCACGTGAGATGGGTTTCCTGAATACAGCACACTGATGGGTCTTGACTATCCAATTTGCCAGTCTGTGTCTTTTAATTGGAGCATTTAGTCCATTTACATTTAAAGTTAGTATTGTTATGTGTGAATTTGATCCTGTCATTATGATGTTAGCGGGTTATTTTGCTTGTTAGTTGATGCAGTTTCTTCCTAGTCTCGATGGTCTTTACATTTTGGCATGATTTTGCAGCGGCTGGTACCGGTTGTTCCTTTCCATGTTTAGCGCTTCCTTCAGGAGCTCTTTTAGGACAGGCCTGGTGGTGACAAAATCTCTCAGCATTTGCTTTTCTGTAAAGTATTTTATTTCTCCTTCACTTATGAAGCTTAGTTTGGCTGGATATGAAATTCTGGGTTGAAAATTCTTTTCTTTAAGAATGTTGAATATTGGCCCCCACTCTCTTCTGGCTTGTAGGGTTTCTGCCAAGAGATCCGTTGTTAGTCTGATGGGCTTCCCTTTGAGGGTAACCCGACCTTTCTCTCTAGCTGCCCTTAATATTTTTTCCTTCATTTCAACTTTGGTGAAACTGACAATTATGTGTCTTGGAGTTGCTCTTCTCGAGGAGTATCTTTGTGGCGTTCTCTGTATTTCCTGAATCTGAACGTTGGCCTGCCTTGCTAGATTGGGGAAGTTCTCCTGGATAATATCCTGCAGAGTGTTTTCCAACTTGCTTCCATTCTCCCCATCACTTTCAGGTAGACCAATCAGACGTAGATTTGGTCTTTTCACATAGTCCCATATTTCTTGGAGGCTTTGCTCATTTCTTTTTATTCTTTTTTCTCTAAACTTCCCTTCTCGCTTCATTTCATTCATTTCATCTTCCATCGCTGATACCTTTTCTTCCAGTTGATTGCATCAGCTCCTGAGGCTTCTGCATTCTTCACGTAGTTCTCGAGCCTTGGTTTTCAGCTCCATCAGCTCCTTTAAGCACTTCTCTGTATTGATTATTCTAGTTATACATTCTTCTAAATTTTTTTCAAAGTTTTCAACTTCTTTGCCTTTGGTTTGAATGTCCTCCCGTAGCTCAGAGTAATTTGATCGTCTGAAGCCTTCTTCTCTCAGCTGGTGAAAGTCATTCTCCATCCAGCTTTGTTCCGTTGCTGGTGAGGAACTGCGTTCCTTTGGAGGAGGAGAGGCGCTCTGCTTTTTAGAGTTTCCAGTTTTTCTGTTCTGTTTTTTCCCCATCTTTGTGGTTTATCTACTGTTGGTCTTTGATGATGGTGATGTACAGATGGGTTTTTGGTGTGGATGTCCTTTCTGTTTGTTAGTTTTCCTTCTAACAGACAGGACCCTCAGCTGCAGGGCTGTTGGAGTACCCTGCCGTGTGAGGTGTCAGTGTGCCCCTGTTGGGGGGTGCCTCCCAGTTAGGCTGCTCGGGGGTCAGGGGTCAGGCACCCACTTGAGGAGGCAGTCTGCCCGTTCTCAGATCTCCAGCTGCGTACTGGGAGAACCACTGCTCTCTTCAAAGCTGTCAGACAGGGACATTTAAGTCTGCAGAGGTTACTGCTGTCTTTTTGTTTGTCTGTGCCCTGCCCCCAGAGGTGGAGCCTACAGAGGCAGGCAGGCCTCCTTGAGCTGTGGTGGGCTCCACCCAGTCTGAGCTTCCAGGCTGCTTTGTTTACCTAAGCAAGCCTGGGCAATGGCGGGCGCCCCTCCCCCAGCCTCGCTGCCGCCTTGCAGTTTGATCTCAGACTGCTGTGCTAGCAATCAGCGAGACTCCATGGGTGTAGGACCCTCTGAGCCAGGTGCGGGGTATAATCTCGTGGTGCGCCGTTTTTTAAGCCCGTCGGAAAAGTGCAGTATTCTGGTGGGAGTGACCCGATTTTCCAGGTGCCGTCCGTCACCCCTTTCTTTGACTAGGAAAGGGAACTCCCTGACCCCTTGCGCTTCCCGAGTGAGGCAATGCCTCACCCTGCTTCGGCTCCCGCATGGTGCGCGCACCCACTGACCTGCGCCCACTGTCTGGCACTCCCTAGTGAGATGAACCTGGTACCTCTGATGGAAATGCAGAAATCACCCGTCTTCTGCGTTGCTCATGCTGGGAGCTGTAGACCAGAGCTGTTCCTATTCGTCCATCTTGGCTCCTCCCCCTGGTAGTTTTTTTTAATGGACGCTTGACATTCGAAAGCTCTTTTAGAACTTAAAAAATTTACTTTATTGTACAAAATATTCATTAAATTTTCTATAAAGTGTTGATATATAGCGTGTAACTGTACATTCTTTTATTAGATATGAATAGTGATTTTTTTAAACTGAAAATATTCAGGAAGCTATAGGTTTTGATGAAGGTTTTAGTAAATAAAAATATAGTTAGGTAACTTTTCCCTGTGACTTTTGCAAACAAAATCCTCATCTTAGTCCTAAATGCTATGTGCTAATGCTTACTGACTTGATAAAAATTTAAGTTTGTAAAAGAAACCATTATACATTTCTTAGTGTCTCTTTGGATCTATTTAACTAATGCCTCTTGCTGAAAAGGGAAAAGATTTTATATTTACATATTAAGATTAATGGTTTATTAATTTAACTCATGAGATGTTACGATCCCCATTTTCAGAGGAGACTGTGAATGCTTGATAAGTGGTAGAATGAGGAAGCTCAGGACTGCTTGGCCTTAAAGCCATACTCTTTCCACCACACATTTGCTCATGTACCATTCGGCTAGCATGAAAATCCTGATGTAGATCCCTAAGTGGAAATTAAATCTGATGTTGTATTGACACCTGGGTCTCAAGCTGCATTCTCCTCTTCTGTCCAACATCTTAAGGTTGGAGTGCCCTACCTTCAGGACAGTCAGTTCCGCCATGACATGATGGATGGATTCTTAAAAATCATCACACTATGCCAGATGCATAATGAGAAACACAGAACTTATGGAAAAGATGGGGTTAGGAAAACACTGCTCAAGGACTTGGTCGTTGACACTTAAAAAAAATAGAGACCTGATAAAAATGTTGTACACATTAAATATTTAATACTTATAAACCACAATAGATATGGCATATTATCTTTAAAAAACTTTAAGTTTACTTGTAGAAGTGGGCATCAGAAGGATTGCAGCTTGTGTGTTATTGTGAAATGATAGAATGAGCATTATCTAAAATTGGAGGAAAATTATAACACTAGATGTGGTTAAGTGTGGCTAGTAACACAGGTGTTGAACTGAGTAGCTGGTAGTTGTTTGAGGTATGTGTTTGAGGTATGTGGCTTGTTTCACGTGGGTACAATTTTCTGTGTTCACCAAGTTTCTTGTGGATGAAATAGCACTTATAAGCAAATGCAAGTTGAGGCTGTATTCAAATTGTTCCCCAATATATTATCAATTGCATTGGAACAATTTCATGATTTCAAAATAAGTGTTATAGCAGAATTAAATGTACTTGGTCCTCTTCTCCTCTCCATCTACACTCCCCCTGCTGTCGCAACTGGTTTTCGAATACCATTTGTATAATTATATATTTATCCACCAATTTTACATGGCTTTAAATATCATTTATATATTGATAACTTCCAAATTTATGATGTCAATCTCATCTTTTCTCTAAAATTCCAGACTCATTTCTTTAGTTACAACTTGATGCATTTCTAGGATATTTATTTCATAGACACTTCAAACTAGGCATATTTTAAGCCCTTTGATTCTTACCCAAAACCTGTGACTGATACAGGAGGAAAGTCAAACCTGCTTCAGAGATGCCTGGGCTTCATATGTTGCTACTTGCTGTAAGTGGGCTGATGCTTCTCTAGTGCCCTAATCAGAGGTGTTTCTGAAGGTCAGAGGGCAGAGCTGTAAACTGTCCACTTAGCCATTTATCTTTTGTGGATGGAGAAATGGCCTGAAGTATGAAGCTACTGCTTCAACCCTGAGCAGTGCTTATGGTGTAGTTGATCGGTGAGGGGCTTGGAAGAATCAAGACTAGAGACAAAGATGTTTGGGGAGAAGTCATGTGAATAGATTGCCAGGAGTTAACACTGAGTATGAGGGGGTGTTTCCCAAAAGGTTCTCAACAACCGTGAAATCAGAGTGAGGCTCTGTTGCATATCGGCCAGACTCTCCTTTGTCACCACAGTGCCATTAACAGCATGATGGTAGGGATGGAGGTTATGCATAGGTTTGACAGCATGAGCTCCCTCTTACCAAGACTGATGTAGCAACTGGTGGTTGCTGAATGTCCAAACAGCAAGCAGCAGAGACCAAAGCTAAGTACTTCTCAATAAACCATTTACTGGTACACTGATCCCAACCAGACTTTATCACTCCAAAGGAAACAGCAATTCATTCTTATTGGAATTAATACTTTGGCTAATGTATTTACTTTAGCCTCCTAATACATCCTAATACAAGCACCATCATCTGAAGGCATAAAGAATGCCAGCTTTAACCACATGGAGACCCGCATCACACGGCCTCAAAGGGACTAATATGAAGGAGGTGTAGCAATGGGTACGTAGTGATAGGACTGATTCACTGGCCTCACCATATACCATGTCACCTCAAGTAGCTGGCCTCATACAATTTAATGGCCTGTTGAAGACCCAGGCACAGTGCTGGCTTAAGGACAGCTTCTTGGAAGGTTGAAGTATTGTCCATCAGGATGCAGTGTGTGCATTCAATGGCTGGTATCTGTTTCTGTGTCCCCAATAACTAGAATGCAGAGGCTCAGGCAGCAGGAGGTAAAAGTGAGACTGACCCCTGTCTCTGCTACTTTTAGTGACCTACTGCCTGAATTTGTTTCCTACTTTAGACTCCACTGGATTAGAAATTCTGGTTCTGGCAGTGGGGCTGGGGGAAGAATGTGCCTGCTAGGAGACAACTGAGGGCCCCACTGACCTATCACCTGGTTGTTTTGGGCCTCTCATGCCCATGGACCAGCAGGCAAATAAAAGAGTTAGAATGTTGCCCCTGGTGTACTCGATCCTCTTTACCATGAGAACACCCAGGTTGCTGCTGCTCAGTGAAACTCAGAGGATTTGCTGGAACATCTGGTGACTCCACACTCATTGATAACTTTCGACTATTGTCGGTTTGTAGACAAATCCCAAATCTGTCCTCTCCAAAATGTCAGCACCAAAATGGCTCTATCTTATCCTGATCAGAGATGCTTATGGTTCATATGAAAAATACAGATGGCATTTTATATATTAAAACTTGTATTTTTATCTGTATTCATTTTTGGTTCTTTTTTCTCCAAACTATATATTTGCTAACATAAAAATAAAATTGAATTGAGAGACTGAGGATTTGACAGTAGGAAGGCCTTACTCTAAATGATATTCCAGCTGCTTCCACCATAGAGTTTTAAAGCATTATCTTAAAGTGTTTAGATAAAAAATTTTCCACTTGAAAAAAATACCTCTAGGTTTATATGATAAAAACACCAACAAATATATTAAGCATGGTATAAGATGCCCTCTTTGATCTGACTGTTGTTCCCACACTAGGCATCTCTCAAGGATCTCCCCATTTGGCACTTCATGCCACCCCGCCAAAATGATACCACCAAATATACTATATTGCTTCTTATGTCTGTGCCTAGAAAGTTCTCTCTGATGTCATGTTCCACCCTCTACCCCAACCCCCACCCCATTTGGTCTGTCTGTGCTGAGCCCATTATAAAATTGCAAGTTTGTCTTTCTCTTTAGAATTCTACTTATCCAGAGAAAGGACTATGCATTAAAAACTATTTTGCAACCATAGCATATGGCACAGTGGTTGGAACACAGGAGGTATCAATGAATGAATTACTTGTGCAGTTAAGACATTATAATTCTTTTTGCTTTATTTATCTCTATAATGGAATGGGAGAAAATGAATGATTGTAAATATTTCTTAGCAGTCAAAGTTTATCTGGGGGAATGCAGAGGCCTCGTTAGTCCCTTTTAGAGAGGTAGAAAGTTGTAGAATTAAGTTTATGGTAAAAGGATTTCATGGAAGCATTGTAATTTTGTCACTGATTTGAATTGCTATGCACCTATTAATAATTTACATTCAATTTCAGATTGCAGAGGAGGGATCAACCATTTCTTGTGTGGTTGAGAGAACCAGAGGAGCTCTGGATTATGTGCATGTTTTTTACACCATTTCACAGATTGAAACTGATGGCATTAATTACCTTGTTGATGACTTTGCTAATGCCAGTGGAACTATTACATTCCTTCCTTGGCAGAGATCAGAGGTAAACCCTACCTTTTTTGTTCCTTTGAAAGCCTCCTGGAAAGCTTTTCCTGAAGTGTTTGTTCTGTAATTTCTTTGCAGCTTTTGATTGAAGTGTCGCTTCCCATTATTATTTACAACTGTAACTGATACATTAGAATTTGCTTCAAACATGTCTGCTGTAAAACCTTTATCAGGTAGAGTTAGTTTCTTCATCACTTTATTTTGTACAGAACTTTATCATGACATTTTTGCGTTGGATTTTAAGTGATTTCCTATGGATCTGTCTCCTATGATAGATTGGGACTGGGGCCATGTCTAACCCCAGCATACTGCATATGTCAAAACATGTTTGTTTAATTAATAAGAAAGGAGAAATTGTTTTTTCACTTTAAATTTTGAATTAAATTTTGTAGAGCATGGCTCAGTTATTCCTATTCCTTTTATAACTTTTTTTGGATTAATTGCTTGTGCTGGACTCCTAAGGCCCATTATGAATCTATTTTCTAAAATACTGTTCCTGAGCACGTCAGGCTCTCCTTAGGCAGACGCTAGCCACAGATACATTGCCCTTGCTTCTTATCCTATCACATCTCATCATAGAACATGCAGTTTCTTAATTGGGAAGTCTCTACCTGTTGTTGGTAATACCACGGTCTTTGGTACAAAAAATATATGATATTATATTGATAAATCAACGTATCATATATGATGTAATACTGATGCATGTATAGGCTACTGTCAGAAAATGCTACTGCTCAGCACCTGCCTTAGTCTGTTGGGACTGCTATAACAACATACCTTACACTGGGTAACTTATAAACAACAGAAAGTTATTGCTCGCAGTTTTGGAGGCTGGGACGTCTGAGAGCAGGGTGCCTGTAGATTCTGTGTCTGGTGAGGGCTTACTCTGCTTCAAAGATATGGTGCCTTCTCAATATGCCCTCCTCACGGTGGAAGGGGCAAACAAACTCCCTCAACACTAATTCCATTCATGAGGGCTCTATCCTCAAGCCCTCATCACCTCCTGAAAACCCCATCTTTTAATACCATCACTTTGGGGATTAGATTTTAACATAGGAATTTGGGGGACAGGAGGATAAGACATTCAGACTATAGCAGCATCCATTATTTTTAAGGAATTAATCTATTCAGACTTCTCTTTCTCTTTATATGTCTATATACACACATATGCACACACACATACAATGTTTTAATGTTTTAATTTATGCAGAAATAAGTCGTAAGTGGTAACTTCATTTAAATATAATTTAGTTGCCTTTTGAATTTTCTTCTAGTAAGTAATTTCTAAATGCCTCATTGCTTAGTGCCTCTGGATATTTATATTTTTAGGTTCTGAATATATATGTTCTTGATGATGATATTCCTGAACTTAATGAGTATTTCCGTGTGACATTGGTTTCTGCAATTCCTGGAGATGGGAAGCTAGGCTCAACTCCTACCAGTGGTGCAAGCATAGATCCTGAAAAGGAAACGACTGATATCACCATCAAAGCTAGTGATCATCCATATGGTAACCTGCTCCTTTTGCAAGAAAAATCCTCTCTTCTCTGGGTGTACTTAGTTTTGTTAAGAACTTCTTAAGGCACTTTTTGCAAATGACGGAAGTAGAATGCCTTCAGACCTCCTAATTTCTAAACTCTTTAACTTGTATGCTACTGTTTTGAGAGACATTGTTTATGAGAGAAAATATAAAGATCAGTTTCCAAACTTCAATAATATGTTTTGAAAAGTTTTTGCAGGATTATTTAAAATGGAACAAAGTATTTCTGTTCATAGCTATCAAATTTCTTTAATTTAATAATTATCCTATGGTGATTTGTTAACACCTAAGTAATTGAAATACTTTGTAATTTATATTTTATTAAGCTTCAAGAAGTGAAGCTATCACTCTATATTAATTTCTTTTTGTCTTATGCTTAATAGTGACAATTTTCTCGATTGGGGAACTATCACAGATGTCTGTCCTAGTAAATTGAGAATGTTTTCTGTATTGGAAAATAATATTTCTTCTATGGGAATGAATCAAGAACATCTGTTAAAAGGTTTGGGTAGAAATCTTGAGAGGCTTTTCACCTTTAGTTTTCATAGTTAGGTTTTGTTTGTTTGTTGATTTGTTTATTTTTAAGTGTTGCAACTCCTTTAAGGTGCCATTTAACCTGTTCTACTATATGTTCTAGAATGATTTCTGGAGAGTCTAAAAAAATATGAGTAAAAGTTAGAAAATATGTATTTTAAAACTGTATCAGTATTCCTGCTATTGATGCTGCTGTGGGAAGAAAAGCTTTCTTTGAGTAAAGACTTGGAAAATTAACAATTTAACTTTCATTATTCTGAAAGCTTATGAACATATTCTGTATCAAAAGCATGTTAGTTAAATCTTTGCTAAAATATTTTCTAAATAAAGTCCCTCAGAATTTTGGCCTGGTGATCAAAATAATTGTGTAAGATCGCTTTAATTGAATAAGAAATTCTTGCACAGTTCATTGGGACAATGCCCTGGCCCCTTTGTCTCCACTAGGCTTGCTGCAGTTCTCCACAGGGCTGCCTCCTCAGCCTAAGGACGCAATGACCCTGCCTGCAAGCAGCGTTCCACATATCACTGTGGAGGAGGAAGATGGAGAAATCAGGTTATTGGTCATCCGTGCACAGGGACTTCTGGGAAGGGTGACTGCGGAATTTAGAACAGTGTCCTTGACAGCATTCAGTCCTGAGGATTACCAGGTAATTTACTCAGTCCTTTTGAAGTTGTATTTGCACTTGTAAAACAGACATAATCCTTCTCTGGAAGGGATATACACTGTACCTGGAACATAGTGACTCACGCCTGTAATCCTAGCACTTTGGGAGGCAAAGGCGAGAGGATTGCTTGAGGCCACCAGCATGGGCAACGTCGCAAGTCACTTTCTCTACAAAAAAAGAAAAAACAGATTAGCTGGGTGTGGTGGTGCAGCTACTCTGGATGCTGAGGCAGGAGGATTGCTTGAGCCTACGAGTTCAAGGCTATAGTGAGCTATGATCCCACCACTGCACTCCAGCCTTGGTGACATTGTGAGACTCTGTCTCTAAAATAAAAAAAGAAAAAAGAAAAATAAAAAAAGAAAAGAAAAGAAAGAAAGAAAAAAGAAATAATCTACTTTATCTAATTAATTGGAGAATATTTATTTAGAATTTACATTGAACATTATTCATACACACTGAAGTGTTTTCAATGTTGTATTTTACTTGTCTTCTTAGCATTTATAATAATTTGGGATATAACAAACATTCTGATTTTACAAATTTGTGTACAGAATGATTGTAATCTATTCATATACAGAATGATTGTAATCTAATGGATCAGTCTTTTATATTTCAGAATGTTGCTGGCACATTAGAATTTCAACCAGGAGAAAGATATAAATACATTTTCATAAACATCACTGATAATTCTATTCCTGAACTGGAAAAATCTTTTAAAGTTGAGTTGTTAAACTTGGAAGGAGGAGGTAAGGCTGGTGATTCAAAAATGTTAAATATTTGCTTGTCTACCCATGCTGATGAAAGTAGATTCCTTTAGGGAAGTAAGTTCCTTTGAATTAATCTTACTTAAATAAATGAATAAATTATTAGTTTTTGAAGAGAGCAGCCTGAAAGTTAATAATTGCTTAAGATACATGATAATATATACCATAATATATGTGGTAATATAATCTATATCAATCATTTTTGATTGATAATCCCTTTCTTGGTAAAAAGAAAATTTTCCTCTTTACATAAACTTTTAGAATTAGTTTTAGAAATTAATATTCAACTCATAGTTTCACATTGATATGCTTTCGCTATGAGGTTTGGTTAATTCTGAGTAATATCTCTGTTTATTATATGGACAGCATGTTCGTGCTATTTTTCCCCCTTATTATTACCCACTGATATTTTTCTAGAAGAGACGTGCTTTTAGAGTGAAAAGTATAAGTGTACTAAGTCACCAAATTACAGTTTTCATTCATGGTAGGTTCCCCTAAGGTCACCTCTCTCTTTTCTGTTTTTTGCTGTAGCTCTGCTAGATCTATCTACAGATATAACGCTGTAAAATCTGGTCCTTTTGGATGATCTATAATGAGTTGATTATTAATAAAAGAAGTCAACAATACCTTAACTTCAGTTCTGCTATTCAGAAAGCTCTGATTATCAAGGGTTATTGGAGTCAAACTTATTTCATGACAGAACTCATCTGCGCTAAGTGAGGCTATTGATAATATGTATCCCAATTAGATGGAATACTTTGCAAAAGTGTTAATGTGTTTATCAGGTGCTACTGGGAGTGTTATGGAATACATACGATATGCATTGTTAATTACCTTTATAAGTTTGAGAAATTGAGAGATGATATGGTGTTTATCAGGACAGTCCCTTTCATTACAAAACCCGGTATCATTACCTCATTATTATTATTTATTATTTTGATGAAGAAAGCCATAGTACATAAGCCATCCAAAGGAAAAATTGGTAGGACTGAGATACGAAAATTGTCTTTATGTATAAAATAGATAATTTGGGTAAATATGCAAAAATTTTTCTTTCCTGTGTTCCCAAATCTCAGGTAAGAGCAAGGAGACCAAGCCAGTGTTTGGGAGCAGGGAAGTGGTTAAACAGTGCTGAGCTTGGTTGAATGCATAAAACAGTAGAAATGTGCTGTCTAGTAGGTGGCATATAAAAATACCAGCTTTTCTTGTCTTCCAGAGACAAGTCCTTGTATCTCCAAATCACTATTTGCATTACTAAAAAGGTTACTATAAAATATTTGAAAAGTTGCCCTTTGTGTCACTTAAAGCTAAAAATCCTTATGTAATAGAAAGAGAAAATGTTAGTGACCATGAGCTAATACTGATTAATAATTGTACATGAAATGTTATTGAGATGATAATAATACTTGTGATCATATGACCACTTATAGTGACACTTGTTATATTATTGAGAAACTTCTCCCCATATCTCTAGAATATGCATTGTTATATATTAATTGGACTTGAATACTCACTAGAAAACCAACCTTGCAGTTGCGTAGGAAGCAATAGTGGCCGAGAATCTGATTTATCCCTCCGTGAGTTGGGATTGGAGGAAAAGGAATTTATACAATGACCTCTACTCCTGGACTCATATGTAGGGACTGTCTAACATGTCAAGTAGCTTATAGAGCTTAATTCTTTGGAGAGTCAAGGACTTATTTCATGCTTTTTGACTATAAAACTGATGAAACTGATGATTCTACATAAGGTAGCCACAACCTGAATAGATGTCTTACGCTAGCCAAAGTATATATGGTGTTGAACTTCTTTTTTATGACTTCTGGATAATGTGGGAGCAAAGCCATGTACCAGATATTTGCTGCAAATCCATTTTGCCTTTTGGATCTGTATGATGATTTCAGGTTCTGGGTGCCATACATTCTCATGTCTGGTATATTCCCATCCTATTGACAGGCAAAAACACAGGGCAAAAGGAGAAGAGAGGGCAGATCTTACACTAGCATGTCAATCAAGGATATTGGTAGAAGCGTATACGTATGGATGTGGCTTTGCTATTTTTACTCTCCTTTTTTTCTATTGCTGTCATCACTGCCCTTCCTATCTTCTTTGTTTGCAAACATTTGGTAAAATAATGGTTGGGGTACAAGATGTATTAGAGGGAAAGGTATAACCACTTTCTCTTTATTATTGCCAAAGTACTTTATATTTTATATTTTGATGATATTATTTATTTTCCATTATTTTATTTGATCTTTATAACTCTTAGTCCATTTCGTGCTGCTATAACAGAATACCACATACTGGGCAATTTATAAGCAATAGAAGTTTATGTGGCTCATGGTTCTCGAGGCTGGAAAGTCCAAGACTGGGGGACTGCATCTTTTAGGGCATTCTAGATACATAATAACGTAGTGGAAGGCTCCACATGGTCAGAGAATGCATGTGAGAGGGCAAGAGAGGGCTGAACTTGCTTTTACAAGAAACCCATTCTTGCAATAATGAACCCACTCCCAGGATAACAACATTAATTTATTCATGAGGGCAGAGGTGTCATGACCTGATCACCCCTTACAGGTCCCAATTCTCAACACGGTTGCATTTGCGATTAAATTTCCCACATGTGAACTTTGGGGAACACATTCAACCCATAGCAACAACATTTCTATAATAAAAGACAGCATCTTTCATAGGTGAGGAAACTGAGATACCAAGAAGTTTAGTGACTTGCTGAAATTTTTACAGCTGGCATCTTTCACAACCAGGAAAGCAGAATTGTTAGGTGACTTGTCTAGGACTCTTTCCACAATGCCAGTGGCCAGAGGGTGATCAAGTTTGAGAATGGTAAATAAATGTGGTGGGGATTTGAATGTGTGGATGGAAGGAAAGGTTAGATGCATTTCTCAATATTGAACTGGTTGTTGTGAATGGTAAGGTGATTATCACAGGCATATTAGGCCTAAGTGTATGATTATATAATCAGATAAATATATTTTAAATATCTAAGATATTAGAAAATAATTTACGTTGGTGTAAAAAAATGAAAATTTAAAAATAATACTAGATTGACAGAATTGGGAAGTAACAGTTACAGTCTACATGGAGTATTTCATGAAACTGAATGAAATTTTGATAATTTGGTAGCTTGACTGGTGCTATAATTCTACTATTTAAAATGATCCATTTCTTATGGAAGAATGCATGTTATTGGGTGAATATTACTGCATTTTCCTCTTTGCTTGATATGTTTTAAGACCTCTCAATTTTCTCATTGTGTCAATGTGTGTTGTGTGGGTTGTGTCTCTGTGTCTCCTTGTGAAGTAGCTGAACTCTTTAGGGTTGATGGAAGTGGTAGTGGTGATGGGGACATGGAATTCTTCCTTCCAACTATTCACAAACGTGGTAAGCAGTTTTTCCAAGGTCCTTTACTATTATAGGTTTTTATTTTAACTTCTCATTTTAGAGACAATACTAACCACTTATTGACACCTACTATGTGTAGGTCCTTTACATATTTTATCTTATTAACTGTCACAGAAACTTTATGAAGTATGATTTCCTTCATGTTGTAGTCACCCAGCTAGTAAGGGATCAAGTCAGAATCACATCCCTTTCTGCTTCCAAAACCCAGACTCTCCTTCTTGTATGAACCTAATGTAGTTTCCTGATTCTAATTGTGATAGAAATTTCACTTGAATGTCATTTATAAAAATGGTTGTTTGGAAACATTTTACATAGCTTTGAATACATAAAAAGAGGTCAATAGAAAATTTGTATTTTCGTTTTAAATACATCACACTTATTCTCTGTACAAAAAAGAACTATGAATCCTTATATGTAAAATGTAATCAAAACAAATGGGGAGTAATCCCAGCACTCTGGGAGACCGAGGCGGGCTGATCACCTGAGCTCAGGAGTTCCAGACCAGCCTGACCAACATAGTAAAACCCCGTTTCTACTAAAAATACAAAAATTAGCCAAGCGTGGTGGCATGTGCCTGTAATACCAGCTATTCAGGAGGCTGAGGCAAGAGCCCAGGAGGCTCTTGAACCCAGGAGGCGGAGGTTGAGTGAACCAAGATTGCGTCACTGCACTCCAGACTGGGTGACAGAGCAAGACTCTGTATCAAAGAAAAAAAAAAAAGAAAGAAACAAATGGGAAAAATAAATAAGGAAGAAAATAAATGGAAGGATAGTTGGCAATTATTGAAGGTGATATTGAAAAGAGGATGCCTTTTGAAGTAGATTTATATACAAACATGATTCAGCTTTTTACCTCAAATATTTTTTTCATATATGAAAAGCATACTTAGAATATTTGTTTCTTGAAGAAGAGCATTTTCTAATCCTCAAATCCTTCTTTTTTCACAATGTCAGATTTTATATTTTAGTGTCAGAACTCATGATTTCACTGCCTTCATTCCTAACTTCCATCAGTGCCTAATGCAACCTCTGTAGTTAATTACACTATTACTTTTAGAATTGTTCATTTTCTAGTCTGTAGACATTAATGCAACATAAAATTTGAACATACTTTTTAGGAAAAACTTAAATGCTGCTTTAGATCATGGCATCTTTTTAGCTACAGAATGGGACTATTTAAGATCAGGAGAGATAGATTTATAGTATCATCACATGATGAAAAAATAGGCCTAGGATTCATGCACGTTGGAAACCAAGAATCTGTTCCGCCAGAATGGGAAACTACTTATTATTTCATGAAGGTAAGAGTCATTTTGGCTCAAGTTCTTTTGAGGTCAGAAAGGTCGTGGGAGACCTTCCTCATATACTCTGTGTGGAAGAATGTTCTCTTTCATAGAGAAGAAAAAGAAAAACAAGTTTTCCTTATTCATCTCCAAGTGCTTATGCAGCACTTGTACATCACGTTGGTGCCAAAGTAGAGAAAGGTCATAAAAGCATGAATATGTGTGGCACCCATTTGTGTCTGCCTTTCTTTCTAAAACAAATTAGAATGTACTCAATGAATGGAAGGACTCTTTTCAAAAAGTTGTTCCTTGGCTTTTTCTTTGATTTGTAAATTACTGATCATCATTTTTTTTTTCTATTTGTTGGAACTTGTTCATGCAGCCAGTCTAGGAGTGGCTTCCCAAATTCTAGTGACAATTGCAGCCTCTGACCACGCTCATGGCGTATTTGAATTTAGCCCTGAGTCACTCTTTGTCAGTGGAACTGAACCAGAAGATGGGTATAGCACTGTTACATTAAATGTGAGTACCTTTTCTTCCTTCATTCCTAGACACTTTCTGTTGTTTTAAAAACTGTACTGTGCTATGAAAGTGTGTTTTATGCTTTCCTTTTTTTGTGTAGGCTGAGGGGAATGAGCCTATTGGCACAGGCAATACAAATTGGTGATCAAACAGTCGTTTGGCATTTATTTTTGTCTTTAGTATTGCACATGGAGTCATTGTTTAATTCTGAAGATCCTTGACCCTTTAAGGAACATAATGGAGCTGTACTACAAGTATTTATCTTACATAGATTTTTGTGTTTGTTCAGATAGGCTGTGGTAACAAACATCTCTAAAATATCAATGGCTAGTACAACAAAGAATTGCCTTCCTCCCTCCCTCCCTCCCTCACTCCGTCCCTCCCTCCCTTCCTTCTTTCCTTCCTTCCTTCCTTTCTTTCTTTCTTTTTTCGAGACGGAGTTTCGCTCTTGTTGCCCAGTGGAGTGCAATGGCGTGATCTCAGCTCACCACAACCTCCGCCTCCTGGGTTCAAGCGATTCTCCTGCTTCAGCCTTCCAAGTAGCTGGGATTACAGGCATGCACCACCACGCCCGGCTAATTTTGTATTTTTAGTAGAGACGGGGTTTCTCCATGTTGGTCAGTCTGGTCTCAAACTCCCAACCTCAGGTGATCCACCCGCCTTGGCCTCTCAAAGTGCTGGAAAAGATTTGTTTTTCATTCGTAGTATGTATATGTCCAACTTAAGTTAGCAAGGGGCTCTGATTATTAGTCACTTTAGGCACCAAGGCTATATCTCAGCAGGTGCTTTTATCTTCTTGGCGGAGGGAAATGTGGATGTGAAGAACAGCATACCAGCTCTTATAGCTTCTTTCTGGAAGTGATTTACATCATTTCTACTTAACTTCCTTGATCAAAGCAGGTCTCCTGGCTGTGCCTAATGTCAGTGGGTGAAGTGCAATCCTATCCTGTCTCTCTCCCATAAGGAAAGAAAATCTAAAACATGGGTGAACTGGCAATAACAATAACTCTATATGATGTGTGTGTTTGTGTACCTACTCTGCTTTGTTCCAGTAGAAATTAGGAAGGATTCATTGTTCAGTGACTCACAGGAGCTAGCTGCTTGCTCAGCTTCCATACGAATAATGAAGAAATATCACTCAAACATATCCTTCTGTACTATTATGGCAGATTTTCAATAAACTGTTGTGCGATAAATTCAACACCTTAGAAAGGATAACTAATGACTCAGGAAAGATAAAAAAAGCGTTAAGGGAAAGGATCAACTTTTATAAAATTACTGTCTCTAAATTTTATTTTGATGTAACCATCATATTTCAAGAATAAATAAAAATTACTCTTAGTTGGGATTTACTTGGAGAAATTTTTAAACTTTTCATTCTTAACATATTATTGACAAAAGCATATCTTCCTTCTTAAATGTATTTTCTTATACTTTGGGTCAAATATGTTTTTTGATGAGTTTGTTTACATAAAATATTGAAGATAAAAGTAAATGTGATTTGTTTTAAAATGAGTTTTACAGATCACTTTTCAGAAAAACACCATTTATACATTCCTTGCAATGAAATATATACCATTTTTGCAGTGAGTGTGAAAATTTTATGAGTGTGCCTGAATGTAATATGTTGTTAATCACATTTAATTTATTGGGCATAAAAGATACACAAAAAATAGTTATAATTTAAATAGAAGCTACGTTTTTTTCATCAATTTATAGTTTCATGCAACAATCGCCTTTGAAATTTCAATTGTGTTTTATTTATTTTTTTTAAGAGATAGAGTCTTGGTGTGTTGCCCAGGCTGGAGTGCAGTGACACCATCATAGCTGACTGCAGCCTCGAAGTCCTGGGCTCCAGGGACCCTTCTGTCTCAGTCTCCTGAATAACTGGGACTACAGGCATGTGCCACTGCACTCGGCATAGTCACTTTTTAAATATCCTCTATTTGTAAGACTCTCTGTGGGCCTTCAAAGATGGATAGTATATGACCCCTGCCTGCAGCAGTCTTGTAGTCTGGAGAAGAACTTATATAAAATAAAATTGTGCTGCTATCATTAATGTATTTATAAGCCTCTAAGTAACTGGCTTTAATCTCTCTTTTAATAGATTTTAATATTAAGTATTTTGTAGGTTATAAGACATCATGGAACTCTGTCTCCAGTGACTTTGCATTGGAACATAGACTCTGATCCTGATGGTGATCTCGCCTTCACCTCTGGCAACATCACATTTGAGATTGGGCAGACGAGCGCCAATATCACTGTGGAGATATTGCCTGACGAAGACCCAGAACTGGATAAGGCATTCTCTGTGTCAGTCCTCAGTGTTTCCAGTGGTTCTTTGGGAGCTCATATTAATGCCACGTTAACAGTTTTGGCTAGTGATGATCCATATGGGATATTCATTTTTTCTGAGAAAAACAGACCTGTTAAAGTTGAGGAAGCAACCCAGAACATCACACTATCAATAATAAGGTTGAAAGGCCTCATGGGAAAAGTCCTTGTCTCATATGCAACACTAGATGATATGGAAAAACCACCTTATTTTCCACCTAATTTAGCGAGAGCAACTCAAGGAAGAGACTATATACCAGCTTCTGGATTTGCTCTTTTTGGAGCTAATCAGAGTGAGGCAACAATAGCTATTTCAATTTTGGATGATGATGAGCCAGAAAGGTCCGAATCTGTCTTTATCGAACTACTCAACTCTACTTTAGTAGCGAAAGTACAGAGTCGTTCAAGTAAGTATCCCTTAGTGTGTTATTATTATTATTAGCTCTCAGAATCCTGAAACAATCAGTTTTAAATTTTATTTAATAGAAAATTCTATAAAAAGTAGTAAACTCTAACTTTGAAAATGTCCTCTTACAACAGTTTACCTGTAAGGTAACTGGAAGCCAGACACATTTTTTTCTTAGAAATTATGTTTTAAAAGTCAGTAGAAAGTAAGATGGGAACTTTAAAATTATCTAGCACACTCTATTATAACAAGGTTGGTGTAGTCTTGAGGCTGCCTCTGATTTCTGGATGAGTGGATTCATCCACTGGGGTTGCTGTAACAAACTGCCATAAACTGGGTGGCTTAGAAACAACAGACATTTTTCCTCATAGTTCTGGAGGCTGGGAAGTGCCACGATTAAGGTGCCAGCAGATTCAGTGCCTGGTGAGGGTCTGCTTCCTGGGCCTTGTGGAGGGTTGAGGGGTCTCTGTCTCTCTCAGGCCTCTTTTACATGGGGACTAACCCCATTTACAAGCGTCTCACCTCCTTAACCTAAGGGCTCCACCTCTTAATACTATCACCACTGGGATTAGGATTTAAATGTATGAATTTTGAGGCAGGAGAACACAAACCTTCAGACCATAGTAACACAGTAGTTCAGTGACAGTATTAATTAAGAATGGGCCGTGCAGAACAGGTTTGTCAGGGAAGAAGGCGAAGCGGTTAAAGAGGCAGTAATTTAGAGTATGATGATTTGCAGCTAGTTTTTGAGGTCAAGGAACTAAATTAGTTTCCTACTCAATCTTGTAACTGAAATGCAGTTTTGTTTTAATGGCACAGTGAACTAATTAGAAGAGCATCATTCTGTTGTAATATTATGTAAAGTGATGATTAATTATACTCTAATGATTTTTTCCTTTTTGATAACTTTTCAACACATATTAAAATATTTCTGTAGGTAACTGTTCTTTTGTTATAAATTCTATAATAAAAATTTCTCTAGAATGTAAGCTACACTAGAGCAGGGACATTCTGTTTAGTTTATTTTTGAATCCCGAATGTCTAGATTAATGCTGGTGCATATTAAACAATACATATTCTTAAATATTCTTAAATATAAATAGTAGGGCTGGGCGCGGTGGCTTATGCCTGTAATCCTAGCACTTTGGGAGGCCGAGGCAGGCAGATTGCCTGAGCTCAGGAGTTCAAGACCAGCCTGGGCAACATGGTGAAACCCCATCTCTACTAAAATATAAAAGAAATTAGCCGGGCATGGCAGCACGTGCCTGTAGTCCCAGCTACTCTGGAGGCTGAGGCAGGAGAATTGCTTGAACTCAGGAAGCGGAGGTTGTGGTGAGCCAAGATGGCGCCACTACACTCCAACACTCCAGCACTCCAGCCTGCGTGGTAGAGAGTCCATCTCTATAAATAAATAAATAAATAAATAAATAAATAAATAAATAAATAAAATAAATAGTAGAGGGAAAACCCCAAATGAGAATCCTATTTGGCTGATGGAATCTTGCTGAGGTTTCTTGATGACTTTTGGCCAGTTCTTAGAATTTTGATAGCTTTCTGTGTTCTGTGTGGATCTTCTGTCTTTCAGTTCCAAATTCTCCACGTCTTGGGCCTAAGGTAGAAACTATTGCGCAACTAATTATCATTGCCAATGATGATGCATTTGGAACTCTTCAGCTCTCAGCACCAATTGTCCGAGTGGCAGAAAATCATGTTGGACCCATTATCAATGTGACTAGAACAGGAGGAGCATTTGCAGATGTCTCTGTGAAGTTTAAAGCTGTGCCAATAACTGCAATAGCTGGTAAGAAAAGACATCTAAAAAGCAGTACATACAGAGGGATGTAAGCACAGAGGGACATGTATCCTTGATTAACACAGCCTCTCAAAGTTGCAATTAGGATAATCAACTAGAAAACTAGAAATACTCTTGTATCTTTTTCAAGGGACAAATCTAGAGTCTTTTTTTTTGGGGGGGGGGATGGAGTCTCGCTTGATTTTACAATTTTTTTATTTTTATTTTTATTTTATTATTATTATACTTTAAGTTTTAGGGTACATGTGCACAACGTGCAGGTTAGTTACATATGTATACATGTGCCATGCTGGTGTGCTGCACCCATTAACTCATCATTTGGCATTAGGTATATCTCCTAAAGCTATCCCTCCCCGCTCCCCACACCCCACAACAGTCCCCAGAGTGTGATGTTCCCCTTTCTGTGTCCATGTGTTCTCATTGTTCACTTCCCACCTATGAGTGAGAATATGCAGTGTTTGGTTTTTTGTTCTTGTGATAGTTTACTGAGAATGATGATTTCCAATTTCATCCATGTCCCTACAAAGGACATGAACTCATCATTTTTTATGGCTGCATAGTATTCCATGGTGTATATGTGCCACATTTTCTTAATCCAGTCTATCATTGTTGGACATTTGGGTTGGTTCCAAGCCTTTGCTATTGTGAATAGTGCCGCAATAAACATACGTGTGCATGTGTCTTTATAGCTGCATGATTTATAGTCCTTTGGGTATATACTCAGTAATGGGATGGCTGGGTCAGATGGTATTTCTAGTTCTAGATCCCTGAGGAATCGCCACGCTGACTTCCACAATGGTTGAACTAGTTTACAGTCCCACCAACAGTGTAAAAGTGTTCCTATTTCTCCACATCCTCTCCAGCACCTGTTGTTTCCTGACTTTTTAATGGCTGCCATTCTAACTGGTGTGAGATGGTATCTCATTGTGGTTTTGATTTGCATTTCTCTGACGGCCAGTGATGATGAGCATTTCTTCATGTGTTTTTTGGCTGCATAAATGTCTTCTTTTGAGAAGTGTCTGTTCATGTCCTTTGCCCACTTTTTGATGGGGTTGTTTTTTTCTTGTAAATTTGTTTGAGTTCATTGTAGATTCTGGATATTAGCCCTTTGTCAGATGAGTAGGTTGCGAAAATTTTCTCACATTTTGTAAGTTGCCTGTTCACTGTGATGGTACTTACTTTTGCTGTGCAGAAGCTCTTTAGTTTAATTAGATCCCATTTGTCAATTTTGGCTTTTGTTGCCATTGCTTTTGGTGTTTTAGACATGAAGTCCTTGCCCATGCCTATGTCCTGAATGGTAATGCCTAGGCTTTCTTCTAGGGTTTTTATGGTTTTAGGTCTAACGTTTAAGTCTTTAATCCATCTTGAATTAATTGTTGTATAAGGTGTAAGGAAGGGATCCAGTTTCAGCTTTCTACATATGGCTAGTCAGTTTTTCTGAATGGGCAAAAACTGGAAGCATTCCCTTTGAAAACTGGCACAAGACAGGGATGCCCTCTCTCACCACTCGTATTCAACATAGTGTTGGAAGTTCTGGCCAGGGCAATTAGGCAGGAGAATGACATAAAGGGTATTCAGTTAGGAAAAGAGGAAGTCAAATTGTCCCTGTTTGCAGATGACATGATTGTATATCTAGAAAATCCCATTGTCTCAGCGCAAAATCTCCTTAAGCTGATAAGCAACTTCAGCAAAGTCTCAGGATACAAAATCAATGTACAGAAGTCACAAGCACTCTTATACACCAATAACAGACAAACAGAGAGCCAAATCATGAGTGAACTCCCATTCACAATTGCTTCAAAGAGAATAAAATACCTAGGAATCCAACTTACAAGGGACGTGAAGGACCTCTTCAAGGAGAACTACAAACCACTGCTCAACGAAATAAAAGAGGATACAAACAAGTGGAAGAACATTCCATGCTCATGGGTAGGAAGAATCAATATCGTGAAAATGGCCATACTGCTCAAGGTAATTTATAGATTCAATGCCATCCCCATCAAGCTACCAATGACTTCACAGAATTGGAAAAAACTACTTTAAAGTTCATATGGAACCAAAAAAGAGCCCGCATCGCCGAGTCAATCCTAAGCCAAAAGAACAAAGCTGGAGGCATCACGCTACCTGACCTCAAACTATACTACAAGGCTACAGTAACCAAAACAGCATGGTACTGGTACCAAAACAGAGATATAGATCAATGGAACAGAACAGAGCCCTCAGAAATAACGCCGCATATCTACAACTATCTGATCTTTGACAAACCTGAGAAAAACAGCAATGGGGAAAGGATTCCCTATTTAATAAATGGTGCTGGGAAAACTGGCTAGCCATATGTTGATTTTACAATTTTGTTTTGTTTTGTTTTGAGATGGAGTCTTGCTCTGTCACCCAGGGTGGAGTGCAGTGGTGTGATCTTGGCTCACTGCAATGTCCGCCTCCCGGGTTCAAGATTCTCCTGCCTCAGCCTTCCGGGTAGCTGGGACTACAAGCGTGTGCCACCATGCCCAGCTAATTTTTGTATTTTTTAGTAGAGATGGGATTTTACCATGTTGGCCAGGATGGTCTCGATCTCTTGACCTCATGATCCGCCCACCTTGGCCTCCCAAAGTGCTGGTAGAGTTTTTATATATTTATGGCACTGAGCTTGTAGACTTTGCAAAAAGTTTTGGCCAAATTATCTATGAATTTGAAAGCTATGATGACCAAAATATGCACAAATCAATGAAAAGTAAACTGAGGAAAACACTGGTTTTCTCTGAGTGTACTCCTCATTTTTGAAAGGGATTCACTTGTAAATGACTACTGAGGAATGCAGGGAAAATGGGCAGCTACATGCTTTCAGTGCTTGGCAACAGTCTTGTCTCTGGATCCCTTTATCTTCTTGCTTATTTATTTGTGAAGAGCAAGGAAGAGGCAACAGTTAGTATTAACTATTTTATATATAAGAAAATGACTTCATTGCCAGATGTATATATAAGAAGACTGCCTACTTTGATAGTGCCGTCCCAGCATCCAGAGGGAGATTTGCCTGAGAACTATTCAATTCGAATCTTTCTAGTGTGCTTTCAGAGGAACAGGAATGTGAATGGATGGGATACTGTGCTTGATTTAAAAAAATAAATCATCTGGCCATAATACTTGCTTGAAAAGACAATAAACCAGGCCCATCTAATACCTAACTGGTGTAGGCTGGGGTAGCTCCTAGGAATACCTGGCTGCCTGTAGAGGGCCTCACACACTGACAGATGGTGGGGATTGGTTAGTGTACTAAGACATTAGTCCTCAGTCTTCACATGAAGCACCCCTCCTTTCCCCACCCACCTTTTTTTTTTTTTTTTTTTTTTTCTCTCCTGCCATCCTGAGCAGTACTCAGTAGCGGCTTTCAATCTATGCAAGAAAGTCTTTTCATGTCCAGCTGTATCATTGATGATGCTAGCGTTCCCATATCTGTGCAGTGGTATAATTTATCTTTCCAGTGGCATTACAATTCTATTTCTGTTCTTTTTTCTAAAAGTACACATTTTTTTCTTGTAGTTAAGGGGGCCTATCTTGTAATGAATGATTCTCTATTTATATAAATAGACCAAATAGATATACATCTTTCTGAAAGTGAAGGAATGAACTTGAGCACCCCTAGGAAGTCTTTTTCGTTATTTTGTGACATTATCAAACCCATTTTTCTACTGAGAGGCATAAAAGTCTTCTTGCTTAGAATAAATGTAGTCAATATCCTCAAAAAAGTATTTCCAAGTAGATCCATAAAGTTTGTTACCTGATAGTTTTTCCCTAGTATATGGAATGTTTTGATCATATTTTAGAAGTCTTAACATTTTACTTTTGGTCTTTTCAGGTGAAGATTATAGTATAGCTTCATCAGATGTGGTCTTGCTAGAAGGGGAAACCAGTAAAGCCGTGCCAATATATGTCATTAATGATATCTATCCTGAACTGGAAGAATCTTTTCTTGTGCAACTGATGAATGAAACAACAGGAGGAGCCAGACTAGGGGCTTTAACAGAGGCAGTCATTATTATTGAGGCCTCTGATGACCCCTATGGATTATTTGGTATGAAGACTAATTTATGTCTCTCTTTGACTTGTCTGCATGTATAGATCATAGATAATGATCTTTACTTTTGGAGACTCAGAATTGATCTGATCATGCTTTCTTTCTTAACCTGCTGTTACTGACATATAGGACATCTGTACACAGTTATTGGCAGTTGTTAGTGATTGTTTAAAAAAGAAATTAAATCAATCTCTTAGCATATGTGGAGAAGTCACGAACTATTGGCTTTAGGGTGTGACCTGGCTCCTATATGTGTTTTGTGAGTCTTAGGCAATTCTTTAGAAAAATAATTTAATTTATAGAAATTTACACAAAAATTTGGATTTCTGGGCTTTCTTGATAAATAGGAAATGTGGCAATATCAAGTTCCCTTTCCTGCATAACATCAGTCATGGGAACCAAATAGCAACTGCCCCTCTGGAGCAGGCTTGCACTGTGCAATCAGCTTCTGTGCTCACTGGACCTGTCACTCATGTCTGGTATAGACTTGAGCCCTATGGGCTTTGTGGTTTCTACTTCTATCACAGTGAAAAATAATTTGGAAATTTTGGCAGAGCAGACCAATTTGTATCACAGCATGTTACTCTGGTTTTTGTGGGTTATAGCTACTTAGATTGCTTAGGGGGGAAGAGAATCCACTATAGGATGGTGCTTGGTTAACTGTTATCTCTGTTTCACTTTGTATTTGAAATGAACTCTGCTCTGTCTACCCTTCAGGTTTTCAGATTACTAAACTTATTGTAGAGGAACCTGAGTTTAACTCAGTGAAGGTAAACCTGCCAATAATTCGAAATTCTGGGACACTCGGCAATGTTACTGTTCAGTGGGTTGCCACCATTAATGGACAGCTTGCTACTGGCGACCTGCGAGTTGTCTCAGGTAATGTGACCTTTGCCCCTGGGGAAACCATTCAAACCTTGTTGTTAGAGGTCCTGGCTGACGACGTTCCGGAGATTGAAGAGGTGAGAGGACTGGCTAGTATAGAATGACACTGTAAATCATACCGTATCTATAGTGACTAGAACAGATGGCCATTGTAACATTTTGGAGAGGATGTCAAATAAATTATTCCTGCAAGAATGTTCAAACTATGCTAGTGTGAAAGTGATCCTTACAGTTGACAAAAGCAGGAATATTCTAGAAATAGATTGTATACATATGCCAGTTTACTACTATAAGACTTTTTTGTACAATTAACTTGCATTGTTCAACATTTTGGTTAAAAGGTTAAATACATATATATATATGTATATACACATATATAGTCTTAATTTATAATACATTTGCTCTGTATAAACTTTTTTCTTTTTTTTTTTTTTTTTGAGATGGAGTTTTACGCTTGTCGCCCAGGCTGGAGGGCAGTGGCATGATCTTGGCTCACTGCAACCTATGCTTCCTGGGTTTAAGGGATTCTCCTGCCTCAGCCTTCCGAGTAGCTGGGATTACAGGCACATGCCACCATGCCTGGCTAATTTTTGTATTTTTAATAGAAACGGAGTTTCACAGTGTTGGCTAGGCTGGTCTCGAACTCCTGACCTCAGGTGATCCACCTGCCTCAGCCTCCCAAAGTGCTGGGATTACAAGCATGAGCCAACGTGCCCAGCCTGTTCTGTATAAACTCTTAACTTATATTTATACTCCCTTTTGGCTTGGGTGTGAGCCAGTCAATCTTAAGTATTATTGTGGTTTTTCATTCATTCATTCATTCATTCACTTATTCTTCAACCATTGTTGAGAACTTACTATATGAAAAATAGCATGCGAGATGCATCTTCTTGATATTTCCTTTTCCTGATGAAGCAGCAAGGTAGCAAATATAAGTACAGTATCAGTGGAAAAGTTAATCACTAACATACATTGGCTGAAGATAATTTTATTGTATGAAATTCAAGTATTAACATTTAGATCTCATAAAATTACTTTTGATAGCATTTATTCTTTAATAGTATAAAATTTTATACAAGTTCATAAAATTTATTTTGAATGCTAATTGTGCCATTTTTCACTTCTAAAATATTAGATATTCATTAGCACATAAAAAACATTTCTGTTTTTTTCTCTCTAAATTTAGGTGGCATTACAGTATGTTTTTGTTTTAAATTTTGTCAAATAATTTTATTTAAGATAATGTGGGAAATAAAGCATAGTATATTAACGCTCCATTAAAATGTATATTTCAGATTTTTTTTAAAAAAGTTATAGGACGTAAAAGTACTATTATTGAAATGGTAAACATAAACAGGGATATTAAAATTGAGTCACATGATTATATAACAATATTAAGGAGTTTAAACAGCCTGTATGTCTTATATATAACTAGGTTCTGTTATTAAATGTTGATGATGGGTTATTCTGTTACATGCTGGGTTTGTAAGTGTAATTGGGGAGTTCTTTTAGTCCATTTATATTTCATTCCATTTTGTTCTTGTACTTGTATGTATATGTTTGATTTTTTTCCCTTGAATCATTTTTATTCTAATTTCAGAACTGTGATGCTGTTAAGGAAGTTTTCACTGTATTTTTAGGTTATCCAAGTGCAACTAACTGATGCCTCTGGTGGAGGTACTATTGGGTTAGATCGAATTGCAAATATTATTATTCCTGCCAATGATGATCCTTATGGTACAGTAGCCTTTGCTCAGATGGTTTATCGTGTTCAAGAGCCTCTGGAAAGAAGTTCCTGTGCTAATATAACTGTCAGGCGAAGGTATATGAGATAGCTACTTGCCTCTGTGGGAGTGATGAGAATTGTGGGGTGGTGGGGAAGGATCCCTTGCACAGTTAAATCATTTAGGTTTTGTGGTTTTTTCTATGCCATAAATTATTTTATAGGTTATTTTAATGTGTTAACTGAATTATGCTTATTAGTATAAAGGGCCTTTCATTTATCATACCTATTGTTAGTGAAATGGGTAATAAATTTTACATCACTGAGCTCTCTAACCCCAGAAATGCATTGCTCTAATCTGTAATTTGTTACAATTAGTACTTAAATATAACTGGCTTTTAAATTAAAGAGCATTTGTATGATGTATGAAGGAGCTGATTTCCAGGTCTGTTTTTTTTTTCTTTTTTTGTGAGGCAGCATTGGGCTCACTGAGCTCCTTCAGAAATAGAAAACAGGATCTTGGGAACTTGTGACAAGTCCCTGGTATCCACAGGGAATTGATTGCAGGTCCTTGGATATAACAAAATCCTTGGATGCTCCCCTTTAATATAAAGTGGTGTAAAATATAATATTTGCATATAACCTATGCACAGTCATCCATATACTTTAAATCATCTCTAGATTACTTATAATACCTAATACAATGTAAATGCTATATAAATAGTTGCTATACTGGACTGGTTTTTAAAGTTTGTATTTTTTAAATTTTTTTTTTTCTGAATATTTTTGATCTGCGGTCTTGAATCCACAGATGTAGAACCTGTGGATAGGGAGGGCTGACTGTTACTACATTTCCTCAAAATGTAGTCATGTTTGTTATCATTGTTACTTTGTTTCAGTTAAGTAAAGCAATAAAAATTAACTTTGTAATTTTGTTTTGAAACCCTGAATTTGCATACCTTGGAAAATATTTTCATAGCTTGGTTAAAAATAAGTGTTGTTTGATTGAAAATTAGCAAGGTTTCCTCACAGGAGAAAACAAAATGTTGGGAGACAAGTGTAATTAAGAAACAGGATTGTGTTTGTACTATGACTTTAAACATTTTTTTAAAAAACTAAAGACCACAGTCAGCATTCCTCTTCTCTATTTGTAATTACTTTGAGTGCTTAACCTGTCTTTTAATTGTCACTCCACATTTTAGCGGAGGGCACTTTGGTCGGCTGTTGTTGTTCTACAGTACTTCCGACATTGATGTAGTGGCTCTGGCAATGGAGGAAGGTCAAGATTTACTGTCCTACTATGAATCTCCAATTCAAGGGGTGCCTGACCCACTTTGGAGAACTTGGATGAATGTCTCTGCCGTGGGGGAGCCCCTGTATACCTGTGCCACTTTGTGCCTTAAGGAACAAGCTTGCTCAGCGTTTTCATTTTTCAGTGCTTCTGAGGGTCCCCAGTGTTTCTGGATGACATCATGGATCAGCCCAGCTGTCAACAATTCAGACTTCTGGACCTACAGGAAAAACATGACCAGGGTAGCATCTCTTTTTAGTGGTCAGGCTGTGGCTGGGAGTGACTATGAGCCTGTGACAAGGCAATGGGCCATAATGCAGGAAGGTGATGAATTCGCAAATCTCACAGTGTCTATTCTTCCTGATGATTTCCCAGAGATGGATGAGAGTTTTCTAATTTCTCTCCTTGAAGTTCACCTCATGAACATTTCAGCCAGTTTGAAAAATCAGCCAACCATAGGACAGCCAAATATTTCTACAGTTGTCATAGCACTAAATGGTGATGCCTTTGGAGTGTTTGTGATCTACAATATTAGTCCCAATACTTCCGAAGATGGCTTATTTGTTGAAGTTCAGGAGCAGCCCCAAACCTTGGTGGAGCTGATGATACACAGGACAGGGGGCAGCTTAGGTCAAGTGGCAGTCGAATGGCGTGTTGTTGGTGGAACAGCTACTGAAGGTTTAGATTTTATAGGTGCTGGAGAGATTCTGACCTTTGCTGAAGGTGAGCAATGGTTCTAAATGAATTTCCGTTGCCCCAGTAAAGTCATCATAGTCCATTTTTATGATAAAATTTATAAGAATTCTTACTGTGTACATTCTTGTTAATATACAGAAATGTAGTTTGGCTTTAGAAAAAAATAGAAGTTAATTGGCTTGTTAATGGTTGACATGACATACATAGACTGACATGACTGTACATATATATCTTTTTAGTTTAAAAAATAGATTTTCCGGGAATATGTGAATTTTATCCCTTTATGTTTGATAGTAGTGTCTTTGACAAAGCACAGAGGAAACTATAAGGCAAGTTCTAATTTTGTAAGGGAAATTTTAATAATGACCCATGTACTTACAACCATACATGTTGGTAAGAAGCAGTGGTAGCTAGGAAAATGAGTATTAATTGATAAACATTTTCATATGCACTAGACAAATCAGGAAATATCATCAGAGAAAATTATTTGTAAGTAAAAGTAGCATAAACTTTGGTGACTGCATTTATATTACATTAATCCTAATGATAAATTTATAATACTGTTCCTACACTTGAGATCACTATTGTAAAATTTCATAAACAATATACTGATATTTTACATGATCAGCTAATTAGAATTAGGATCAGATTGAGTGGTTCTTTTTCAGGACTGGTTGACTCGTGTGCTATTTAAAATTGGGAAAGTTAGTATGTTTAAAATAGTTTTCTCTGGGTGTGGGACAGGTATCTTTATTGAGATTATTGATTACATCCTCATTTGGGCAGTTATATATTCCACAAAATTTTAAAAAACATAGTGCTTTTCTGGTTGAAAAAGTAATGTATACTCTAAAAACCTCAAAATATACAACAAAATGCAGGAAAGAAACTTTGTTCCTAATTCTATATTTTAGAACAATCCATTGTATTTGTTGTTTAACTTTTTAAGGCATATACTTTTTTTTGGAAACTAATTAGAGGTCATGGTACATATGTAATACGCTTTTTGAAACACATAATAATCATTATGTTTTAGAGTAAATTTTAAAAATTGTATAAAATATTTTTATTATGGTTATTTTCTAGTCAGTGATTTGAGGATTTAGTGGGATATGATATGCTTGACGGAAGATGGGAACAGGTTAGTAATTGGTAACTTTTCTATTTCAAAAGGAATAATGAAAATGTGACGAGGAGGGAGTGGAAATGAAAATATAAAGTTGGATTTTTCCAGTGGTTATGTTAACTACAAAGAAAGTTATATATAAAGAAATAGCATTATATAAATTACCATTACCATGAATTATAACCTTAGCATCACACAAAATGGACTCTATTGCTAACTTAGATTCTTAGATAATGCAGACTCTCTTAAAGCAATCTTGACACTGCTGTATTGATGAAAATGCAGCAGGGTCACAAAAGAGAGAACATGCATTTAATCTCCTTTCTCCTTTTCCCTGCCTTTTCTTTTCCCACTCCTTCATTGTCTCTCCAGAAAGTGGGGAGAAAATAAATAGGGGACACCTTAGGCTGAATGGCAGAAAGTATTGGATTTAGGGACATTCTGTGGTGCCCTATCTACTAGATCAAATTGCAAAGTAGATTGCTTGGACTTTTGTTGCTGTCACTTGTCCCTTTGAGTTCCTCTTTTGTTTTCTTCCTTCATTGCACTACTTCCTGGAGACTGGTACTTGATGCTGTCATCTCATCGAGTTACTCAAAGATGCATCTCATTTAGGCTGGTTCTTTTGCTCAGAATTTGACATCCCTTTTTAGTTCCTCATTTTGACCACGATTCCCTAAGTGTTCCTGGTTTTTCAGGAAGGTATTGTGTTGATATCTGATTAAAATTATCACAGTAATGCCAGAATGAGAATGAGACTCCACTTTCCTAAAGGGAGTTGTTTCTAAACAGGATATCTTTGGAGCTCTTTTCCTAGCTAGGTCACTGTTCTTGGCTAACAACCAGGAAGTAAAGCCATGATTCTTTGAAACAATTCTACCTTTTAACTTTCCCATAATTCAAAATGTCCTTCTCCACAATCTGTCTTCATTAATGAAATTTTACAGTGTTTGATATGTGAAAAGATATATATATATATAATTAAAATTTGCTTATGTTGCCCATGATATGGAACTGTTATAATTCACTCATATTTTTATTTAACTTTTAAACATAGAAATTATTTTGGGCCTTTCTGAGTTCTCTGTGTTGGTGATTTTGTTACTTTGGTTTTTATTCCATTGATGTTTTTATAGGTGAAACCAAAAAGACAGTCATTTTAACCATCTTGGATGACTCTGAACCAGAGGATGACGAAAGTATCATAGTTAGTTTGGTGTACACTGAAGGTGGAAGTAGAATTTTGCCAAGCTCCGACACTGTTAGAGTGAACATTTTGGCCAATGACAATGTGGCAGGAATTGTTAGCTTTCAGACAGCTTCCAGATCTGTCATAGGTCATGAAGGTGGGTTCCTTTTTTTGTTAAGCATATTCATTTTCTTTTCTATGGATGTTGTCTTTTGTCTAGTTCTTTAAAACTTGATAGTTTTTCCCTTTCATTATTTTGTTGAACTGTGTGTGTGTTAATCTGCATAGAACTTCTTTGGGAGAAGGCTTTATAATGAACTGTTTAGCCAGATTTAGGAGCCTTGCAAACCAATACCATGTTCTAGCTTGCCATTCTCTACTGGTATGATTTTAAGGAAGTTAAACCTGAAATGCTTAGTTTTCCCATTTGTTAAATGATTCAAAATATTACTTCATAGGTTTCTTTGTGAGGATTAAATGAGCTAATAAAGGTAAAGTGCTTAGCATAGTTCCTGGCAAGTATAGCGTATGCCCAAGGGTAGCTGTTGGTATCAAACAGTGAAACATTGGTAACCGGTTAAAAACAAGTAATAGTTTGTAATCAGTGAATATTTTAGCCTGGATTTTATATTGTGTTTGTACATTTTATGAACAAAGTGCCAAACCTTATAAAATTTCTTTTTTTCCTTAAAAAACAGTAATTTTCTTGAATTCTTACTTAATATTTTACATCATATGTAGGGTTTTGCATAGATGGGCTAATTTTTGTGTGTTTAAAACATAACAGTGTTTTTGTCTTCGAGTAAGCCTGTTTTGGGGTAAATAGGTATTGGTAGCCTGTGTTTCATTACATAGTTTATCTGGAATTAAAAAAATAATTTTACCTTGAATAGTTAATAAATGAAAAGGATATAGATTGTGTACTTGGACATCTATTTAATAGATGAGAAAACAAATTGAGACATAGAGAGATTAAAAGACTTGACAGTGTCAGATGGTTAGTGGCTGTGCCAGAAACAGAATGTATTTTACTGTATTACCTTTTCCCTTACTGTACTTCCAACTTGCAAGTTTATTTATCCATGCAAATATTCGAGCCATTTTCAGTACTCTACTTTTATTAACGGTTTGGAATTGCATGTTGTCATAGCAGTAATGAGTAAAAGTGAATAATTCCATAAATCTAACCTAAAGACAGATCATCAACTATCAAAAAGTTATTTGTAACATAATACAGAGTTACTGCAGGAATAGTTAATAATAATGACAACAGTAACACTTACGGAGTGTTTTCTGTGTGGCAGACACTCCACCTTCATTATTTCACTTAAGTTTAACAGCAGTCCTATGATATAGGTATAATTGTATACACCAGATTTTCATACAAGGAAACTGAATTTGAGAGAGACTAAATAGCAACAATTATTCAGTGGTAGTGCTTATGCCCAGCTGTGTCAAATCCAAAGCCCATGCTATATAGGGCACCTAGTGAGGAGAGACTTTGTTTTGCTTGAACTCACGTCTGCTGCAGAACCTGGCAATGCAGGGACTTTTGGTAAATATTTGAAGTTATTTGAGTTGGAAGCATAATGAATTTGAGTAGCAGTGCCTGTGTGAGGGAAGGAAATTAGTGAGAGAACCTGACTCTGTTTCAGGTTAAAGATGGACATTGGTTAAAGATGATAGCTGAAATCTGGAAAATGAATATGATGACTTTTGTGGACAGAGGAAAAAAAAGCAAATTATCGGAATGGAACCATGAAGAACATCAGACTAAGGTGCTGGGAAAGAAAAAATTACCTGAGAGGAGAGAGAAGCCTTTGCTGGAGAGGCAGGGAGAAACCAGGGAGAGAGTGTGTTTTCAATCAGTTACACTGATTACTCCGTAATCAGTGAGTAATCAGTAATCAGTGTGTCTCATACTAACATGGCCAAAAAGGGGAGTTAGATCTCAAATGGGCCAAATAAAACAGTGGCAATGGTAGATGAATTTTAAAGGAGTATTGGGGATAGGAAGCAAATATCTAAGGATGACAAACATAGAGGTCTTCAGGGGTTCCTCCTCAATGTGGCTTTCAGGAGGCTGCCTGTTCAGTGTTTGCTTCTGGTCTGTGACAAGAGGATTGGAAACTCTTTTAACAATTTCACTTTGCTGTGATATCCAAAAGCAGTATCTATGGGCTGGTATTTTGTATGTCTTTTTTGTTTGCGTTAGTTTTTTGCTATTTAACTTATCTAGTCATTTATTTTATTCTGTTTTATAAGAGGGTCAGCCTCTAATGGATTAAGGCAAACAAAACAAAACACAAATCCCTGTCCTTCACAGCATGAAGTTTTGAGAAGCACTGCTTATTGGCTATAACAGCAAGGAGAGGAGAAGCATTGGATAGAACAGATGACGGGAGCATTTTGGATTTGTTTTGTTGAAGAAATAGGGGGAAGGAAAAGAGAATCAAAGTATTAGTGGTATGGAAGGTACAAACAAGAGCTGAGATCAGGAAAGGATAGACGAGATTTAAGGAGGGACTTAGAGCTATACTAGGCATGCACTTTTCAGCAGTGTGATGAAATTTCTTTTCTAAGGAATACAAAACAATTTGGATGTCTAGGATCAATTTAATGAATTTTAACTGTAGGGCCACTAATGTTGTGAAAGTGCATCCTATGAGCCTGGATGGTGGTGCTAGTGGTGAGTTGGAGGGCTCTGAAGACACGGAGGCCCTCCTGCTGGGTACCACAACATCTTGGAGAAACTGCAGATATGAACACCTACAGTCTGTTTGGCCCAGATGAACTTCACCTGAAAACAATATTGTAGCCTCGTCAGTTTCCAACAGCTAATTATCTGCAGGAGAGGCAAAGAGGAAAGATTATTAATTAAAATAAATGGTCCAAAGGTGTTATTGGTTAAAAATCTGCTTTAGCATATCAATCTAAAACACCAAATTGCTTTTCTTGCTGGCATGAGTGCTCCCTAGATTTTTTATGTTTTCTACATAAAAGTTGGAGTCAATTTCTATTTTTTACTTACTTTTTTCTCTTCATTCCTAAGCCTTTTCCTAGATTATAAATTATTTTTTTCAAAAACATATTAAGCCACAATAGTTCAGTATTTTGTGTATGCTTTATATTACCATGAAAATTGCACAGAGAAATGTGTATCATGATGATTTTATGAAAGTGAATTAATGAAAACATCATGGTGATTCTTCAGAGATAACCGCTAAACAAATGGGGTGAAAATAATTGTGCCATGTGAGCTTTTAACAGTGTTAACGTTGCTTTTAGCCTAGTGTTGGAGTTTCATTTATGTGATTAGATTTAAAATGTGGACTATGCTGAACTTCTGGCTCTAGAATGCATTTTTGATTCATGGGAGGAATTGCCTTAGTCTCTAACAATGTATTGAATTCTGTAGAATCCTATTTCTACATTTTGTCCTAATGCAGTTGGAGAGCTGCCCAGTGGTAAATATTACTTTCTTTCAAATGTAATGGACAGAATTTAGAAATATGGGACAATGGATTTTACTGTGGTTGCACACTGGGTATAAATGTGCTCTTTATAAATCTGTGCTAGGTGTTTCTCTCAGTCACCCAGCTGAGCAGCAGCATAATCATCATGTCATGTTCGATGGATTTTAAATTTTTTCTTCTCTTAGGGACAGCGTGAATCTTTTTTACACAAAGATTTGAGCAAGAAATGTGATTCTTTAAAGAAATATATAGAACCGCTCTACTGGAAACACTCAACTTTTTCTTAACTGTTCTTTTTGACAGTCTGCTTCACATTATTCATATTCCTATAATTGTTTTATCCCGTTTTCTTTTTTGTTATAGAGGGCAATTTGGATAGTATATGTATGTCATGTATACACGAATCTATTAAATATATTTTCTGTATTTTGGTTTTCCATTAGTTTTATGTACATTGTAGTTGGTGTTTATCTTTGTAAAAAGAATTCTGGTCTTGAAAATAAGTGTCTAAAACACTTAGGTTTATTAAAATGCATTCTTCATTCATATTCTTTATCTGCATTAGGTTAGTCCTAGACACCATGTAACAGATCTGCTTTAGAGTTGAAATATGTCACTAACTTTTGGTAAACTCTGGATTTCGTATCAAGATGATCGTCCAGTTATGTAGTCAGACACTTTGTTATGTAAGGGTTGTTCTGCCTTTCATCTTGGGCAAAAACTAGAAGGCTGTTTAGTACCTAGTAAAGTCTTTGTCATCTAAAAATAACATACTCTCTCTTAAGACTTTTCTTCTGTCTTTTCCCTTAAATTTGGAAGGCTAAGCACTTATTTTTAAGTTTTTCATTTTCCTGTGACTGTTTGACTTTTCATCCTGGCAGAAGGTATCTTTCTGATATGTCCAGTCATTTTTTCCAGGAGGCATTTTAAATGGACCTGGCTCCTGGGAGTCTGCAATAAAGAGACAGAATAAATACCTCCCTTTTGATTATTGCTTAGAAAAAATTTCACACTATTCTTGCTGTTGACATGATACATTTTCACTAGGCTTACAAGATTATGTGTTTAAGAAATATTTCATTTATCTTTTATTTATATGTGCTTCTCTATGTGCGTGTGTGTGCGCATGTGTTTGTGTATATGTGTGTGTGTATCATACTTCAAATTATATTTTTGCAGTATTTTCTTGCAAGTTACTTTCATAGTAACTTTTTAAATTTTCAGAGGGGATATTGATGAACTAGTATTAGACTTTTAGTGTTTTTACATGTAGTAAGTTTGTCTGAATATTTTACTTTCTTTTCTCCTAAGCATTTTATTTTTACTTTTACCTAAAAATGATGTATTTATGCCCAAATCTCTGTGTCTAAACTTGCAACTGCAATTTTATTATTGTGATTATAGATTACCCTTCAACATGGAAATTTTTTGACCTGCATTTTGTTTTCTTGCCATTTGTGTTCTCTTTGCACTTTAGTACTTCATTAAACTTCCATAATTTTCTTTTTGAACCATTAACAAATTTTGTGATTTGAAAAGTTTGAAAACCATGACTCTTATGAAAGAGTCACCAGACAACACTGTAGGTGAAATAGCTTAATAACTTCAAAGATTTTTCTATGCTTTTTAGTAATAAATTTTTGTTTTTCAATATTCCAAACTTGCTCTATAAGAAATTCTATATATTGTACAATAGAGAGACACCAGAGTTTCACAGTAGTGTCTATATTTTGTTCACAAGTTTTACAAATACAAAATTTTTAAATGGTATGCTAGCAATGGCTGACTATACATAGTCCTTCATTTTCATCCCAATCTTTGGACAATCTGATCTAGAAATTCCTGTGCTTTTAAAAGATAAAACTAAGACATAGTCTACTAATGTAAAGGTAACTAATTTTTTTTGTATTGACACACTTAAAATGTGTTTTAAGAAGCCTTTCTAATGCTTTTGTTTATATTATCCACTCTCCTTAAAATGTTCATTTTGTTAAAATTGTGTTTAAATTTAGTATGAAAAATTATTTTGTTTTTAAATTGAAATTAAGATGGTCTCTAAATTAATTAATTCATGATATTTTAAGAAATCTTCCTATAAGAAATATTTGTTTAGTTGTCTTCAGAAATAAAAAATGTGGCGGTTTAAAAAATACTTGAAAATAGTGTTTAAAGTTTATTGCTTTATTTCTACTTTTTAAAAAATGTTTGAAGATATTACTTATATACACAAAAGTTACTTGGATAGCTAACTGAACTAAAACTAACTAAAAGTGACATTTTTAGTGAATGTTTGTGGTTTTTAACTATATGTCTATGCTATACAGTTTGATTAAGGATGTCGTCTTCTAAATCTTTTTAAACATCATTCTATCCTTGCATAATAATAATTTTTTAGTGATACAGTTCATTGGTATTTCTTAGTTGTGTTCATCATCATATAAAGCTAGTGAATTGAGCATATTTTCAACAAGTCATATGGCCATTAGCACGCTCCCTAACAGCTTACTTTATGCTTTTAGCAATTTGAAAGACATGTTATGATTTTCTTCACTTTTGTGAAGTATTATATGGGGAAAAAAGCCAGGAATAGAAGAGATCTAAAATATCTCCATTATCCAGGAAGGATAACTGTAACTTTGGCAAAGTTACAGATGTTGATGTACAGATTTGACACCTTTCCTTTGTATTTCTTTTTATAATACAAAATCATTGATGGTATATGTAAGTTACAACTAAAGAAATGTGATTTTCAGGTATTTGCAAGCATTTTTATGCATGCATTGTGTAAAATCACATTGCATATCAGTGTAAGGATTTGTGCCCTTTTGAAAAGTGAAGGAAGAATTTACTTGTGTTACTATCATGAGGACTTTATTATTTTCTTTAATTTACAGAACACTTATGTTCTGGTGCATGTTTTGGAGTGTATAAAAGTTTGTGTTTCCCATTTTAGCATGTGCTTTTGTAACTTTTACATATTAAATTTCCTCAAGTTCTACTAAATTGAAGTATTTAGAAGTGGGGATAATAAACAATAAGCATGTATAAAGATTCTAGAAAATTCAAAACAAAACAGCTTTGTAATGTTCTTGGGAAAGGTGCTGTAATAGTTGCATGCTTGGGATTTGGGTTTTGTTGAGTTCAAATGTGAAGTTTATTTTCCATTAAGTATTTATCAATTTACACATTTTACTTGCAGGAGAAATTTTACAATTCCATGTGATAAGAACTTTCCCTGGTCGAGGAAATGTTACTGTTAACTGGAAAATTATTGGGCAAAATCTAGAACTCAATTTTGCTAACTTTAGCGGACAACTTTTCTTTCCTGAGGTAATACTGCAAAGAAAAGTCGATCACAAATATCTAGAAAGAATGGTGTATTTTGAGGAAAATGGGATAGAAAAGCAGCACTATTGTAGTTATTATCTTTCTCTCTTCTCCAGACCTACTTCGTATGAATTCTTTGATGATGTATTTAATTGTTTTTATCTTCCTTCTCATTGCCTCAATATTAAGCCAAGCCAATATTACCCTCTGCCTTGAGTAGTACATTGGACTTTTAATGACTAGTGTCCCTGCAGCACTTGTCTTCTTTTCTCTGCTCCAGTTTTTTCTACTCACCATTGTTGTAGAAACCTCTCCAACTTTGTGCTTTGAGATTTCCAATAGTGTTACATTGCTCAATAAATAAGATTTATGTTCATTAGCTCAGCATTCAAGATCTTCCACAATTAGCCCCTGTCTGCTTGGAGCTTAGGTTCCCATGTGTCAGTGGTTTTTATTTATTTATTTTTAAGCCACAGAACTTTTGTTTAAATGAAAATATATTTGCCTGCACAATTTATAAGGTGAATAAAAATAAAGCAGGAGATAGTTCATATTCAATAACGACAGCGGGATTGATTTCTTTCTGTATGACATAGGGGTCGTTGAATACAACATTGTTTGTGCATTTGTTGGATGACAACATTCCTGAGGAGAAAGAAGTATACCAAGTCATTCTGTATGATGTCAGGACACAAGGTAATTCAGAATTTAATTTTAATTTTTTTTGGTATATTCTTTTCGTAAAAGAAAGAAAATTGTTATCTCTGTATTTAACAATTAGATGCATACCAATTTTTAAAATGTTACTTTATTATGTGTCCCCTAGAAATGTTAGATCAAAAAAAATTAGCACCATATGGGAATACTTATCTTTATAGACTAGGAAAGAAGCCCTGAAACGTTTTGCTAAATGGTTACTTACAGAATAAAATTCATTTCCGAAGGTAGAATTTTTTTGAAATTAATTTGAGACTTACAAGCCAATTTGAATTTTGGACCAATTATATGGATAAATCAAATTTAGTCTTTTTTTTTTTGCGACAGGGTCTCACTCTGTCACCAGGCTGGAGTGCAGTGGCGCGATCTCGGTTCACTGCAGCCGCCGCCTCCCGGGTTCAAGCGATTCTCCTGCCTCAGTCTTCCGAGTAGCTGGGACTACAGGCATGCACTACCATGCCCAGCTAATTTTTGTATTTTAGTAGAGATGGGGTTTCACCATGTTGGCCAGGATGATCTCAATCTCTTGATCTTGTGATCCGCCTGTCTCGCCCTCCCAAAGTGCTGGGATTACAGGCGTGAGCCACCACACCCGGCCCAAATTGAGTCATTTTTAAGCAAATTATCTGGGTACTTTCCTCAGTTTCTATTCAATTTCTATAATTCTGATAACCAGTATAACCAATAATGACAGTAATATGTGAAGTAAAGAAATTCATGATCTTCCACCTGAAAGAAAAATGGAATGTGGCTTTTGTTAACCTGAAGATTTGTTAGAGAAGTAAATAGAACACTTTTGATTACCTTAATGTTTCAGAGAGTGAGGCTATGTTTCCAGCGATTAAAAGCTAATGCCAAATCACTGTTAGATTCCTGCCTGACATTTTTAGGAGTTCCACCAGCCGGAATCGCCCTGCTTGATGCTCAAGGATATGCAGCTGTCCTCACAGTAGAAGCCAGTGATGAACCACATGGAGTTTTAAATTTTGCTCTTTCATCAAGATTTGTGTTACTACAAGAGGCTAACATAACAATTCAGCTTTTCATCAACAGAGAATTTGGATCTCTAGGTTTGTGTTACTCTAGAATGAATGGGGTTTCCAGGCAAGTGCTTATTAATATTCTACTTGTGTGGATGAAAGCCATTGCTAAAATAAATCGGGGACAGGAGAAAATTAATATTTCTTCATTCAGGACAGAACTTTATAACTTCTTTATCTTTGAAAAGATTAAAGGAATTATCTGTTTTCACAGAAATGCTGTGTAATTAACAAACATAACATTTCAGCAGCATACAGTAATTTAGGCTGTCTGTGGGTCTACTAATCTACACTGGGCTTGGCCATGGGTGGCTCTATTCCATATGTCTGTCATTCTTCTCCGGGAACAAATGGTAGCACAAAAGACCAAGTGAAAATGTGTAAGGCCCCCTGAGGTCTAGGGTTAGAACCAGCACATCATCATTTTTACCTTGTTCTATTGGCCAAAACAAGTCACATATCCAAATTCAAAGTCTAGAGGCAGGGAAATATGCTTTTCCCACAGTGAGACACCCATGAGCCATCACATGGTAAAGATTATGGATATAGGAAGGGGTGAGGAATTGGGACCAATAATACTAGCTACTAAAGGTGCTTTTAGGAAAGGCAAAAAATTCACAAGGGGATATTATTGTAAACATTTAGATAATTATAAAACATTTTTGCAACCTATTCAATTAGGAGCTATCAATGTCACATATACCACGGTTCCTGGAATGCTGAGTCTGAAGAACCAAACAGTAGGAAACCTAGCAGAGCCAGAAGTTGATTTTGTCCCTATCATTGGCTTTCTGATTTTAGAAGAAGGGGAAACAGCAGCAGCCATCAACATTACCATTCTTGAGGTAAAACTCTTTTTTTTTTTTAATCTTAGGGGGAGATAGTTTAATAAGTTTTTTTTATTATACTTTAAGTTTTAGTGTACAAGTGCACAATGTGCAGGTTTGTTACATATATATACATGTGCCATGTTGGTGTGCTGCACCCATTAACTCGATAACTCATATATTTTTCCTTATTATTGTATTAAACCTGAAGTAACTACATAGAAGGTAGAAATTGATGGAAGAGTCTATCTATAACATAAGTGGTAACATTTAGTAAGACACTTCTAGTAACTTTGCATTTTAAGACATCAAGTTTCATGAAAACTAAGTTTACCTGAGTTTTTTTCTATTAGTAAAAAAAAAAAAAAATTACTCTGACTTTAATATCAGGTTTGGACACTCTACAATTATAATACCAGAAACCTGGTGAATTCTCTTCTGCTTGTTCCCCCTGCTGGTACCTTTAAATCATCTTATTTCTTTTCTTGATTTTGTTGTTGTTGTTGTTGTTTTAATCATACAGGGGTTTCTGTTCTTGTTTAGATAGACAGGCCTGCTGTTATGTATTTTATTACAGACATGTCCGTGATAAAGAATTTTCTTAGGGCAGTCACCTTTGAGATGCCATAGACCTAAGAGGTTTCAAGGAGTATTTTGATTACTTCAAAGGATTCTTTGGACCAGAAAATCCGTGTATGTCAGAATCTTTGTTGGTAGTAGGACCACTTAAATTAGAGATAGGGAGAAACTCACCAGAGGCAGATGGCACAAAATGCGATTATGGTTACATTAAGCTTAGCATAATCATTAATGATTGAAATTGCATTTTAAATAATTTTTCATATTGTGGAATCTCATGTTGTTTTGGGGACTTAGTGTATCAGTTACCTAAATACAGTTCCAAGAGGTTTATAAAAATGGTACTCACGGAGGGAGTAGGAGATAGTGTGTAGGATAGGGGAAGGGAAAGAGGGAGAAAGCATGAATATTGCAGTTGAGAAAATATTTTTCAATTACTATGTATTTTGGGAGTTCTATTTTAAAATGTATTTTATTATCTTGGAGGCTTGTGCTTTTACAGAATTATAAGTGGTGTAAACCATCTACCAACTGAAGTCAGTAACTTATTTTGTTGATTACTGTGGCACTGTGACCTAATATAACAGTATAAAAATTCCAAAGCTGTAAAATTAAAGGTAATATTATGTCAGTATATGGGATATAACACAAGATTTGATAAAGCTTTCAAGTAAGTTATCTTTCAAATGTATACTCTATTAATAACAATATAAATAAATGGATTGATTATTCCTTAGATATGTTAGTTTTTAAAGCAGAGAATACACAGTCACCCTTCTTTTCTCTGAGGAGTCTAGATTTTTTTGAACATTGGGTTTTTGTTTCCACCTTTATTTGATCCTAGATCTTTGCAACCTTTTCTGCTCCCTGATTAGCACTAAGATTAAGAGACTGCAGGCCTATGCATATAGGAGCAAGCTGCCCTGGGGAGTGGTAGGGAGGAAGTATTGCGTGGGGGGTGGGGGACATTAAGAGTAGGCACAGCAGTCCTTCTATATCACTGACCTTGTAACTCATGTTGGTCCATATATTACATAAGACAATCTAGAGACCATGATTTTCACTTATATTTTCACATGGAAACATGACTCCATTAAATAAAGTGAGGAGAAAAGCATATGTTGGTGAGTGTGTACTGACATTATATATGCATAAATATACATACACATTGTGTTTCTTTGTAAATATTGATGGCTGGCTGATCACTCTTGACATGGATTTTGCTAATCCTTATGTTTTTGGTATCTGCCTTGTTTTCATTGCTATTATGTGGACTGGTGATTAATAATAATAGCTATTAATTTTAAAGCATTTTCTCTAGGCCACCCTACACATATGATTTGTGATCATTATTACAATCTCCCACCCAAAAGGAGCTATTATTGCCCCGTTATAGAGATAGTAGAATTGGGAGTTCTAAAATTTAAGTAACTTACTTAAAATTATAGAATTTGGTACTAGGCCTCCTTGAACTGCAGAGCCTTTTTTTTTTTCCATGGTGTTCTATTCCTCCTTCTACACATTAGATATTAAGGTAATTTCAAATGTTTTGTTCATATTATGCTTAAAATAATTAGGCTTATATATTTATATAATTGGTTTACATATTATATAAATCTATATTTAAAATGTTAAAATATTTAAGTGGTTTCATGTGGGTCAACCTAATTACTTCCTATACAACCAAGTATAAGTTTAATACGTTTATGTTTATTTTTTCTAATTTACATCTGTCTACTTTATGGTTGCATTTTTGTATCTTCTGTATACTAATTATACAGTTTAATTTAAAAACAGTTTCTGAGGGTTAATTACTTTGAGAGTATAACTAAAGGAATTTAATGAGTGTAATTTTTTCAGGATGATGTACCAGAGCTAGAAGAATATTTCCTGGTGAATTTAACTTACGTTGGACTTACCATGGCTGCTTCAACTTCATTTCCTCCCAGACTAGGTATGAGGGGTTTCTTGTTTGTTTCTTTTTGCTCACTTCAAATGAAATGAAGAAACTTCATTTTTGAATCAGAAGTGATCATTGTGCTGTTTTGTTAATCTTAGCTATGTGTTAAAATATGATGGGCTTTTATATTTATTTTTGATACTCTCATATATTGCAATTTTTACAATGAACAATGTAAAGACATTAAAAATTATTGTGTGATGCTCTTTAAATTTTACAACTATTTTATAAACAAATTTGTAATCCTCAAAATAGCTCTTTGGAAGGTATTTTCCTTTCATTTTCTTTTAAAATTAGCTGTTTTCAGTAGATCTCCAAACTCTCAGATGTTTTTATTTTCTTTTAGGTTAAGCAGTGCTGATATTTGCTTCTTTGTTGCTTTATTGTGTTCTCTGCTTCTTTCATGACCTTTTATCTTTTTCTTTTCATGCTTTTAGAAAAGACTCAGTTAATTCATTACAGACTGAAAGGTAAAACCTGAGCCTTGGTACAAACTTATCTAGATTCCTTTGAAAAGATGTATTCCTATGTTTAAACACAAACTCCTCTTTCAGTGTGGACATTTACTACTGGGAAATTTTGTCTGAAGCCTGTAGGTGTGATGGCCCACTAGAGGGTGGTGCTGAGTTGGTTAGAAGGAGTGCTGGACAGGGGAAAGTTAATTTGGATTAAAGGAAGAGAAGCATGGCCAGGAGCAGTGGCCTGGGAAACAGGCATTCCTCATTCATTTCTGAAGCTCACTGTGATAACTTTGAAAATATTGAAAGGAAATAATCAGTTTCTAACCTATTGTTTGAATAAATTCAGTTCTTTTGCTAAAGAAATAGATGATTCCAATGAGTAGGCTGTTTACATCAAGTATTATTACAAGATAATTATTATTCACACTAAGACAACTAACAAAACAATTCATATTTCTTTCATCCTCTTACTGAGATAATTTGAATAGTTAACTTCTGTTGAGTGGTTTCTAATGCTCCTATTTCAAGTGCTTTGTAGATTAGTAATATCATTACTTACATTCTTCTCATTTTACAGATGAGGTAGCTTAGGCTAAGAGAAGCTGCGTAATATGCCCCAAATCACACAGCTGGAGACTGGTAGAGCTGACTTCAATGGTGTGGTCTGATTTTAGAATCTCTGCTTTTTAGCCTCTTGTCTGATGGATGCAAACCCTGATTTTATATGCTTTCCTGGACAGTGTTGTTCTTTTCACTCTACAGAGAATTACACTCTCCCTACCCTTTCCCCATCCAGGCAGCTACCATAAGTGTCCTAGACTAAGGTAGCACCTCTGAAATTTAAAAGGTAAAGAACAAAGTATTAAAAACAAAAATCAAAACCAAACCAAAACACTAATCAGGAGCAGGATTAGTTAATATTTTAAGACTAGCCCAGGAGCAGGGTTAGTAATATTTTAAGACTGAAACCAAAAAGCCAACCAGGAGCAGAGTTAGTTAATATTTTAAGGTATTGGTAACATACTAAGTTTGGTGGATAGAATAAAAATAAAAAGGGAAGATAAGTTTACTTTGATATTAATCTCTCTTGACTTCACCAAACTTTTTCCCCATCTTTCCCATGTGTCTCTACTTCTGTTTGTGTCCATGTCTCTCTGTGTCTCTTTTGCACACCTCTGTTTTCTCTGTACCTTTCCTTGCACTTCTTTCATTTATTTTTCATTTTTTTTTGCTCTTTCTACTCCTTCCAACTGTCCCCATTTTCCTTTCCTCCTGAAATAGTGATATTATAGAATAGAGATGCCAAATATGTTTTAACTAATTAAAATAATAGAAACAAAATAGTAATCTCAGTTGTTTATTATTTTATACTGTTCTCAGTTGATTAAATTTCTATAAATCAGTGGCTCTTGTTAGCCAAAAGTGTCCTTATTCAGACGTGATAAGCATTGTCTCTTTATTTTCTTAAACATCTTTTGAGTAATGTTGATAATACCTGTACATTATGAATTATATAATTTCAAAGGGACTGTCTTTAAATCCTATATCAAAAATATTTTTAATCATTTATATGTATTTTAAGATATGCTTCTATGTTTTTTAAGATTCAGAAGGTTTGACTGCACAAGTTATTATTGATGCCAATGATGGGGCCCGAGGTGTAATTGAATGGCAACAAAGCAGGTAAGGCCAAGGCTGCATGAGAGCCCTCTTCTGGGTTTCATATTATTTACTATCTACCAAATAAAAGTTTCTAAGGGAAAAATTAATTTTTTTTGTTTGTTTTTGTTTTTTTGCTATATTATAGGTTTGAAGTAAATGAAACCCATGGAAGTTTAACATTGGTAGCCCAGAGGAGCAGAGAACCTCTTGGCCATGTTTCCTTATTTGTGTATGCTCAGAATTTGGAAGCACAAGTGGGGCTGGATTATATCTTCACCCCAATGGTGGGTCTCAAAATCTATCACAGATGACTTTTACAAATTATTTTATAATCATTATTCCTTGAGAATTACAGTGATTTAGGTCCCATATAAATAAATTATTCTTAAAAACCATTGTATTTTTCACAGTAAATTAGGACAGAAGATTTCCTCATGGTAAAATAGTTCCCTTAACTATTTTAGTAAATATAAATTGAATTTTCATTACTATTCTAAATGTTATTCTGTATGCATTAACTATTTCATTACAGTATTTGATACTAGAGAATACAAGCTGTAATATTAAAGAATTTATATCATTAGATAATCTTCCCAGAATGTTTCTTACACTTCACGAAAATTTTAACTCTTTCATTTCTTTGTTTTTGCTCACTGAAACACGTTTAGTGTTTTAAAATACTTTTACTTGGTCTCTTCATGCCTTTTATTTCTTAGCCAAATGTTTACTTTCTTCTCTTCCCCTATAATTTTTTTGGAGACAAAGTCTCGCTCTCTCACTCAGGTTGGAGTGCAGTGGTGCGATCTCGGCTCACTGCAACCTCCACCTCCCAGGTTCAAGCAATTCTCCTGCCTCAGCCTCCTGAGTAGCTGGGATTACAGGTGGCCACCACCATGCTAATTTTTTTTGTATTTTTACTGTATTTTATATTTTTAGTGTATTTTACCATGTTGGCCAGGCTGGTCTCTCAATCTCCTGGCCTCAAGTGATCAGCCCGCCTCGGCCTCACATAGTGCTGGGATTACAGGCGTGAGCCAATGCACCCAGCCCCCTCTTAATTTTTACTTTTTAAACTTAATGTTGCCAATTTAAATAAAAAGATATAAACCAAAATATAAGGAGACAAAATTCAATGTAAAATAGCTTATTCTTTACATTCACAACTATATTGTATTTCTTTCCAAACATTCTATAGAAACTCACAGTGTATATAAATATAATACATTCTGCTTTTACCTTTTTGACCAGATTCTTCATTTTGCTGATGGAGAAAGGTATAAAAATGTCAATATCATGATTCTTGATGATGACATTCCAGAAGGAGATGAAAAATTTCAGCTGATTTTAACAAATCCTTCTCCTGGACTAGAGCTAGGGAAAAATACAATAGGTAATTAATAATTTCTTATAAACAGCTTCCTCTCCTTCATGCTGGGTTCCTTAATATGGGGGAAGATGTAAAGGAATGAGAAAGTCTTGGTGGTTTTCTGTGCTTAAAATGAGAATGATTTTAAGTTAGAGCATTTCAGAATTCCTGTGTCTGTGTAACAGTGCCTCTCACGTGTGTATGTTGGTGTATATATGCATGTATGTAAAAGACAAAGTAGGTTGATACTACAGATAATATTATTTCCTCAGTTATTGTAGGATTATTTAATTTGTAGATGTCTTTCCTTTGGAATTTGAATTTTGTTCTGGTTTCCTACTTAGCAATAGAAGGAATTACAAAGGTAGTAATTCTACCTTTGTAGAATTACTTTGTACCTTTGTACAAAGGAGTAAAGGAACTCCTTTAGTGTCATCTACTCTGTAGTATTTCCGCATAGTGTTGAGGTATACTGATACTTCAGACAGATTATGGGAGACGTAATTCTTGGTTGGAACAGTTTGATATTGTTGCTAAGAGTCATCCTACTCCATTGCTTGATAGGTATTGTGCTGACTGTTTAGAGAAGGTAAGAAAGAGACAAAGGAGAAAACTCGGGAACATACAGAACTTGAGGGTTGGAAGGGCTCTTAAAAAGTCACTTCCGTTCATTCTGATGATAGACAAGCCAAATGAATTTCAAGGATTGAATGCTGACTGACCCTTCAAACTCCTGTTTTAGTCAGTGGCTGAGCTGGTTTTTTTTAAAAAAAATTTTAGTTTGATGAATATTTGCATTCCTGAATTATTGGCCTTTATGGAGAAATTTGATTTGTAGTAGAAAATATAAAAGAATTCTGAGTAACCCAAGGATTGGTTTTTACTTTTCTTGCTATTTTGATAAAATACATTGATATTTCTAAGTCCCCAGAAGCCTTTTTTTTTTTTTTTGAGGCTGTGGCTGTTGTTTCAAGTTCAAAGAGTATATGTTTGAGATCAAATCATTTTCTTGTAGAACATAGTGGGGTGGTAAAGCGTTGTATGAATGAATACCATGTGTTGGTTGAGAATAGTCTATGTACAAATAACAGAAAACCCAATGCAAATGGATTTAAACACATATAATTTATTGGTTTATTTAACCTGAGGATACAGCGACATACACCTTTAGATGAGGCAGGAGCAGGACTTAATGCTGCCAGAGATCCTGAGGTTTTCTGTCTCTTTTCTTTGCCTTTTGGAATATTGGCTTCATTGCAAGGCTAATGTTATTCATTGTCATAAGATGGTGATCAGGACCATTCTTCTGCATTTCATATAACAGGAAAGAGAGAGTATTCAAATTCATGCATTCCTATAAGGTCCTTATAAAAATCTGATTGAAATTACATAGGTGACATGCCCACCTCCATGAGTAGGAGAAAGGAATATAGTATTGGGCTCTCTCAAGCTTACTTTATATTTGTAATTTTCTATTTTTAAAGATTAAGAAATTCCTCAGAGCAAAAAGTGCTTTGACAGTGAGTCGTTTCTTAAACCATGCCCCATTGATTGACCTTGAGACTATTTCCAAACCCTTATAAAGTTTCAATAAATATCCTTTTACATAAATCTCTATATATGTGGATAATTAAGATTATCTGTTGAGTACAGTGCATGTTGAGTGAAAGGACTCATCCGTTGCCTTCTTTGTTAGTTACATTTCAATGTGTACATATACGATAGTTTCTCCATATCCTTACCAGCAATTTCTTTAGTCTTTAAATTTTTATATGCCATTTCTAATGACTGAAAAATGTGTGGTTGTATTATACATTATTGTGCATTTTTTCTTTCATTTTCCTGATTGTTAGTGAGCTTGACACTGGTTTGTTTTTTTTTTACTTTGTGATCCTGTTTTTCGTATCCCTTATGTACTTTCCTGTGGTTTTTGCTTTACTGGTTTGTAGGAATAGTTATATATTTTGAATTCAACACTTTGCCTCTTAAATATATTGCAGATATTTCTCCCAGACTGTCATTTATCTTTTATTATAATGTCTCTTATTATAAAAATTTTTTTAAATTTAAAATATCAAATATTTTCTGGTATGCTTTTAAATCCTACTTTCTTAGGTCTTTTCACCCAAATGCTATAAAATATTTTACTATATTTTCTACTATTTTCATTGTTTTGATTTATATTTACATTATTGCACATATCAGGAATTTATTCATTGGTAGTGTGTGAGGCAAGGATACAACTTCATTTTTCTTCTAAAATGCAGAAAATAATACCCTCATATCGTACAGAGAATGAAACATCCATTAGCCATTAATTTTCAACATGAAATATCTACCCTTCTTTTTTTCCTTTTTTCTATCCATCTACCTATCATTTTCCTGGACTCTGTTTTGTTCTATTTGCCTATTTATGTGCTAATAGCATACTGCTTTATTTATCATAGCCTTGAAGTACATTTTGCTAGTTTTTCAGGCCAAATATTTTTCTTTTTCTTTCTCTAAATTATCTCACCTATTCCTTAAAAAAGTCTCTTTCATATGAACATTAGATTCAAACTGAGATCTATAAAACAAACAAACTATTTTGATTGGGGTTGAATTAAAATTATGGATTAATTTGGATGGATTTGACATCACTGTAATATTGAGTTTTCCAATTTAGAAATATAAAATGCCTCTCCAGTAATTTAGATCTTTTATACCATTGCCTTCCCTTGTGTTCTCTCAAAACCAAACTGTAAGACAAGGATTTGGACAAGGATTTAGTTTATTTGAGAGGTGATCTCTGGAGGCCTGATGAGAAATGAGGAGGTGAGAGAGAGGAAAGCTGATAGATGATGTCCTAATGAGCAGTACTGCTGTGGGCAACTGACACTCAGTCCTGCTGGTGTTCCTCTTAGACACTGGGTTGAATGAAGCTTAGGACTGTCCCATGACAAGGAAAGAAATCTGGGCTGTTCATTTACCAGCTCCTATTTCTGATCATTTGAGAGTTGCTCTTGGGTGTTAAATTTGCAACAGTTCTGTCCTTACTCCTGCATGGGCTGATGCTGTCTTCAGGTAGAGAGAGACCACTAGGCAAATAGGAACTGCTGCAGGTGACTTTAGAGTGGGTGAAAGGGAGGTGCTGACAGTGTCTGCCACAGTTATACATTAAAATTTTGTGATTTTCTTCATATAGGTTTTATAGTTTTTACATTAGGCTAATTTCTAAGTATTGTTGCTATTGTGAATAAGGTCTACTTTTCTTTTTTTTTTTTAAATAGCTGATCTTTAGAGATATTATAATAGTCTTTAAGAATGTATGATCTGAAGCAGACTTTCTGACTTTGTGCACCAGGTCTGCCACTTCCCAGCTTGTAAACTTCTTCAAATTACCTGAATGTCCTTCAATCATAGGTTCTGTAAAATGAGAATAATAATATAATCAATATCATAGGGTTATTGTGAGAATTAAAAG